>NC_000004.12:112254714-112406229 GCF_000001405.40 Homo sapiens | reverse complement strand
CATCTGGGTGGCTTCACCTCTTTTTATTGTGAATAGTGCTGCCATGGACATAGGTGTGCAAATATCTCTTTGACACCCTGCTTTACTTCTTTTGGATATATACCTAGAAATGGGATTATTTGATCACATGAGAGTTTTATGTTTAATTTTTTGAGGGACATCCATACTGTTTTCCACAGAGTTCGCACCATTTTACAAGCCCACCAAGAGTGCACAGGTTCCATTTTCTCCACATCTTTGCCAATACTTAGGAACACAACTCTCTTGAGCATCAGTTCATCTTCTGCTTTTCCCCTGTGGCCTCAGCAAGGTTCTGTGGAGCAATGCCTAATCTGGGAATAAGAAATTGGGTCTTGGCAGAGTGTTGTGGCTCATGCCTGTAATCCCAGCACATTAGGAGGCCGAGGCGGGTGAATCATGAGGCCAGGAGTTCAAGACCAGCCTGGCCAACGTAGTGAAACCCCGTCTCTACTAAAAATACAAAAAATTAGCCAGGTGTGGTGGGGCATGCCTGTAATCTCAGCTACTTGGGAGGCTGAGGCAGGAGAATCACTTGAATCTGGGAGGCGGGGGTTGCAGTGAGCCGAGATTGCACCATTGCATTCCAGCTTGGGTGACACAGCAAGACTCTATCTCAAAAAACAAACAAACAAAAAAGTTGGGTCTTTAAAGCTGGGGCTGAAGTCACTGTTGAGTCCAAACAGTGGTTTTAGGGGCCCCGCTTCCTTCATTATAATGAGAAAATTCTATGAAAAGAAAAACAGGGACAAATAAAAACAAATTCCAAATAAAAAGAGTGATCTTGTTATATATTTAAAAATGAGAGAAAGGAAAGAAGACTTCCCGGGAGGTGGCTTTTAATTTTCATGTTTGATATTCTCTAGCAAAAGTTGGTATTATGAGAGCAAATGATGATTTGGTGATAGCTGGGGATCACTACAGTTGGGCACTCCTCACAGTGAGCTACAAGGACACTTTGTAAGTCCAGTGGCATCCTTTATGAAATGGTCTCCCTGAGTTATGAGACAGAGCTTCTTGGAGTCCGGAGAGGCCCAGGTAGTGAGTTCACAGGGCAGAGTACCAGAAGAAAATAGCTGCACAAAGCAAGTTCAGAGATCTGCAGAGGGTCCCCTTTGAGTCTTCAGCAGAATATTGATCAGCTTCTGCATGGAAAGAAACCACCCAAAGCTGGGGAAAAAGCCACCTGAAATGAACATAGGAAGCATTTCTTAGGCCTCAAGCAGCTTGCGTTTCTATCACCCAGTGTAGAAGAGTCTTGTCATTTACAGGGCATGGGGTGGAGTATTCAGAAAGGTACTGCTTCGGTAGGGAGACTAAATTAGCCTTTGACTATGACTGTTCTTGGCCAACTCTGATAGCTTAGAAGCAAGCTTCAAAAGGATCAAATTATTTCCTAACTTGACTGAGTCCCAGAACAAAGCTCAAGAATATTTATAGGCACACAAAAATGTTCACAATCCAAGAAGGTAAAGTTTACAATCTGGCATTCAGTCAAAAATTGCCAGGTGTGAAAGAAGCCCAGATTGCACAGAAAGAGAAATCAATAGAAAGTGACCCCCAGATTACAGTTCAAGAAGGTAAAAATTAGGTATATGCAGTAGAGACATGGAAGATATAAAAATTGATCTAAGTCAAATGTTAACAGATTAAAGCGATATAATGTCTGAGATGAAACCATGAGTATCTCAGTTTGTTTCCTAGCTCTAGCACTTATTTGCCACGGCAAGTTACTTAACTGCTCTATTCTCAATGACCTCATTTGTGAAATGTGGATAATATTCATTTGTGGTGCTGTTTCAGGATTAGAGGAAGTGTGGGTCAAATGCTCAGCACAGAGCTTGGTAGATTGTGGGTGCTTAATAAATGACATGGAACACCATGAAAAAAATGGAAAGAAGTCAGCCACTCATTCCCACTCACTTGTATGACGAGGTATAAACAGGCACAGACAGACTCCCAAAGTGAGTTTCAGTGGAAGTTTCAATAGAGCAAAACAGAAATAATGGGTCATGCATGTAACATCTACAAGGTTTATCCCAGAGAATGGCTAAACCTCTCATTTTTTTCAATCTCTTTCTTCTCTTCACCAACTCCGAGGATTGATGTTACTGGAAACTGAGAAAGGAAAAGGAAAATGAGCGGGCTCTGTGGCACTTGGTGAGGGAAAGCTGGGTCTTGAAAGGGGGCCTTCTAAGCACACACGTGCGAATTGCTTTTGGCTGTCGCCAATGGAGGAATCCCTCCCCAAGCACCTGTAAACTGATGCTGCAAACACCCCATTCTGCATCCCTCAAGAACACGCCATATATTTGAGCAGAGAACACTGCCTAATCTATTTTTCCCCCTTCTACTCTTAATAGATTGGAGCACAAAAGCCTGAGAGAGGGTGACCTGCCAGACAAAAGGGCCTTTGAGTTCCTTGGAAAAGTAGACTTGGAGGAGGATGGAAGGAATCCAAGTGGCCCTATTATTTCCACTTGCACTAATTAGACATTTTTCTGTCAGCTATTGAGCACTGCTGAGAGGCCAAACTCACTGAATTCATTTCTAAAGTGTTTACAGAAGTTTGCATCTGTTTGTGTCTCTTCAGGAGGAAAATAAGCACTTCAATAGCATTGTGGAAAATCTAAACGAAGCATCCTATTCTGGAGGACCTGGCATCCCCGCAGCTGCATAATTTAACTCCGTTCAGGGCCCAAACCTCTCGCATCTCTCTCCAAGACCTAACGATGCAAAATGCAGAGAAGTCAACTCAGGAGAATCTTTTCTTTCTTTTCATTTTCTTTTCTCTTTCCCTTTTGAAACGGCAGCATGCTGTGAACTACATACAGATTTAGGTGGGTATCATTCTTGCAGCCGCTCTGTCGTGTTTCTACCAGCACTCTGAGAAATTAATACCCACTTTCATTTGCTGCCAAGTAAGGGGATAGTAAATTCCTCAGCAGCAAAGCAGAATACATCATCATCCTGGGAATCTTCCCAAAATGTATGCCGGGGAGGGGGCGGGGGGCACTCTGACATCAGAAGGAGAAAAATGAAAGAGGGCCAAACTGTGTGGTAGGGAAGGGATGCTAAAGAGTTTCCCTACATGGCAAAATGTGCCTGGGTTATGCACAATTAGATTACCATGAAAGAGAGCCCCTCTCCCTCCCCCACCCCCTAAAAAAGAAAGAAAAAGAAAACAACACAAAAACCCTAACCCACTGATTACATGGGCAATGCCTTTGAAATGCATATTGGTCTACATGGAATTTGATTCAGGATTCTTTTTGTTTGGGTTTTTAGGCCCACGACTGACCTGCCATCACAGAGGACTCAAAAATATGATCTTTTTAGGTAGTGTCACAGTAACAGTTTTAGTGTTGGGATGAACATAGTATAGCTCAAGATCAAAAACTTACAGGGATTCTAATCCTTTATTTTTCCTCGGAGCTGGCTTAGGGGAAGATTGTCCAAATAGCAACCAAATTGTATTTTTCCTGTTATGTGATCATGTTTACATAAAAATATGTGGATATGGATGAGAGAATGTGCTGGATTTCTGAAGAGAGAGGCTCACAAACACATGTACACAGACACACGCATAGACACACACGCAGTTGTTTTTTCACATCTGTTTTCAGGATGGGAAATAACGGGGTTCTAATTGTGTTTAAGGCACAAAGGGAACTTCATGGCTAGGAAGCTGAGTCAGGTGGTAAAGGAATTAAACTCCACAATGAGATTTCGATACACAGATGATTGAAAAAATGCTGAAGAGCCTTTTCTAAGGGCTCTTGCTAAACAGCAGCAAGGAAAAGTGTGTGCTGTTTTCATGGTTCCTTGCATTAGCGCCAGCCCCTCCCGATGCTGAGCATCAAGTTTAGGTCCCAGCTATGGGTTCAAAGCTGTGATGTGTTCACAGCAATGACAATGGCAGCTGTTCTCAAGGAGGGGCTGGGTGAAGGGGCTCAGAACTGAAGCCATCTGGCACTGCAATTGGCAGGAGCAGTGTAAAGGGAAATTATTGCTGCATAACAAATTGGGAGATTGGTAAAAGGCAGGGAAATATGGAAGGGAGGTGGGGAAGTCCTGAGATGAGGAATTAGCAGAATAAACACACGAAAAGTGATTGACGCCTGCATAGTTATCCATCAATAGTAAAAGCAGAGTGAAAGTGGTACAGATCAAACTGGTGGACTCAAGTCAATGGAAGACCAAACATAGCATGCTCCATATTTGTCCACCCACTAAATGTGATAAGGAGGTGAGAAGAAAAAGCTGACCTTTCTTAAGGTTTATGCCCAGGGCCTGTAAACATTTCATTGGCCTTTCTTTCATTTTTACCAATAGAAAATGCAGATTCAAACCCTTCTGAAAAATAGTTGTAAGCTTTTTCTCTATCTTAATATCTGAAGATAATATTTTGGATTATCTCGCCCTTACTCAGTTCTACTGTATATGGAGTTGGCCATCTGTTAAAGGGAAAAGAAAGCAGTATTAAAATAGGCAACCATTTCACCAGGATCCCTGTGAATCTCATGGCCCTGGGAGCTAGGGACCTGCACACCTTACCTCTCTTCTGATGCCCAGGTTGTTATGGCTAGCATGAGTCCAGTCATCATTCTTTGTGATTTCAGCATCCACATTGATGATTCCTCCAGCACACTGGTGTCTCTTGCCCATGACCTTCTTCTCTCCAACTATCTTCTTCTACACCCCACCTTAGTCACCTACTCTCATGGTTGGTCATAACTTAGAATGTACCATTTTGACAGCATTTAAGAATCTCAATTTAAGCATTGCATTCTCTGGTCTTTATCTCTTGTTCTTTCAGTTTCCTTCTTCTATAGCACAAATCCAACAATTCTGCAACCTTTCTGGGACACCCATACAATTCACTGACCCTACTGTTTTGTACTATCCCATCAGTCATCTCATGTCCTCACTTGCCTCTTTAAATTCCATAGTGCATAAATGTCATAACTTTTAAAAAGCATTCTTGTCTCCTCTCCCTTTTTCTGCCTCTGTTATATTTTTCTAGCAAAGGCCAACTATGCTTACTGTTAGAGAAAAACCTTGGCCTCACATTAGAGTCACCTGGTAGGACTTTCAAAAGTCCAGACGCCCAGATGGCAGCCCAGACCAGTTAAATCAGAATCTCTGGAGTACACCCGGGCATCGGTTTCTTTTAACAATCCCAGGTGATTCCAATGAGCAGCCAGAGTTGAGCACTCTGGCTGAGCGAGGCTGATCTTCCAGGCTCTTTCCCCAACACTCACTCTCACCTCCCTTCTGTGGATGAAACACATTATCTGATGGGGGTGACATACCTGGCTCAGACCTTCCTCTCTCTTCTCTTCACATCTTCCTGCCAGGGGAGAGGGTACATTCTGGCCTGTTCTGCCTGAAGGAAAGTTCCTGCCAGCAACAGGATGAGTCTGGAGTGAAGAATTTTCCAACCCACATCTGAATATTGAAAACCACATTCTCCTATCTGTTTTATAGTCATAAAAGTTACTCTTTTGTATCTGTCTTTCAACTGGTTCTGAATGCAGGAGGGTAAAATCAATGTTATTTACTGGCATCCCAAATTCCAAAATTATATCGAATTATCTGCCTAACCTGAGCTTCTACCTAAGCAAGTGAAAATGGCTGGAAAAAAACACAACCATGATACTTTAAATTTATGATTGTAACCTGAAGATGGCTCCCATTACTGCCCGGCAATTGGGACTACATTTCTACCTCCTTCTCTCTTTCCAACCAAAATTCCTCTAATTCTCCTGAGTCTCAGCTGTTAACCTTGATTGTTATTTCACTGAGAAAAGAGAGTCAATGAGAAGAGATGGTCCTTATTCTTTTACCTAAATTTGGCCAACCCTCTTGAGTTGGAACCTATGTGTTTCATCTACCCTTCTCTGGTAAGTGTGATACCAATATCTTACTTATAGATTCAATTCTCATCCTTCTTTACATTATATCTCCCTTCTCTTCTGCATCATTAATTTCCCCCGGATAATTCTCATCTGCATCCAAACATGTTGTAATAGCATCCACCTTAAGAACAATAATCTGGAACCAGAAATATCATTTGACCCAGCAATCCCATTACTGGGTATATATCCAAAGGATTATAAATCATTCTACTATAAAGACACATGCACATGTGTGTTTATTGCAGCACTATTTACAATAGCAAAGACTTGGAACCAACCCAAATACCCATCAGTGATAGACTGGATAAAGAAAATGTGGTACATATACACCATGGAATACTATGCAACCATAAAAAAGAATGACTCCATGTCCTTTGCAGGGACATGGATGAAGCTAGAAGCCATCATTCTCAGCAAACTAACACAGAAACAGAAAACCAAACACTGCACGTTCTCACTCATAAGTGGGAGTTGAACAATGAGAACACATAGACGCAGGGAGGGGAACATCACACACCGGGGCCTGTAGAGGGGTGGAGGACAAGAGGAGGGAGAGCAATACGACAAATACCTGATGCATGTGGGGCTTAAAACTTAAATGACGGGTTGATAGGTGCAGCAAACCACCATGGCACATGTATACCTATGTAACAAACCTGCACGTTCTGTACATGTATCCCAGAACTTAAAGTAAAATAAAAAAAAGAGAGAAAAACAATCCTTTCTTGGTCATACATCTGTCTCCAGCTCCTATCCCATTTCTCTGCTGCCCTTTCTAGCCAATCCCAAAAGAGTTGTCTAAACTCACTGTCCTCACGTCTTTACCTGCCACTCTTTTGTAAATCTATAATTCTCATCCCCAACACTTCACTGTACCTATTCTTTTCAAGGTTGCTAACAAATCCAGTGACCATTTATTTATTCTCATATTATTCAAACTCCTAGAAGATTTAGCTGAGCAAATCAATCCCTCTTTAAAAAAGAAAAAAATTTCTGGTGGCTTCTGTCATTGCATATTCTCCTGGTTCCCTTCCTTGCTCTGATTTGCTGGATCATGCTTCTTTCCCAAACTCTGAACAAGGAAGGCCCTAGCGATCAGTTCTGAGACTGCTTCTCTCCTCCAGGGACACTCAGCCTGTACCATGGCCTTAAATATCAACACTGATGATGAATCCCACGTTTAAATACCATCCTGTTTCTCTTTCCTCGAATGCATACTTGTATATGGAATTGCCCGCCATAGCCCAAGTTGGATGTCAGGATCTCAAACTCATCATGTTTAAAGCAGAACTCTATTTTTCCTCCATTCTTGCTTCTTCCTCAGTGTTCTCTGTTTCTGTAGTGATGACTCATTCACTCATTTGCTTAGGACAAAACCTTGGAGTTTTGACTCCACGTTTGTGACTCTTTTTTTCTCTTGTCCTCTACACCCAATCCATCAGCAAATCATGTTGGCTCTACCTCTAAAATACGTGTAAGATCTGACCATTTTTCATCTCCTCCAGGGCACCCACTTTAGTCCACGCCACTGTTACAGTCTTGCTTGGATAGGGTCCCTGCTCTTGCCTCTGGTGTTCCTCTCCCTTACACAGCAAACAGAATGATCCCTCTAAAATGTAAGCCTAATCATGTCAGTTCCCTGCTCTTGACTTTAACACGGCTTCTCATCACATTTAAAATAAAATTTAGGCCAGCCATAAATATAGGCTCAGGCCTATAATTCCAGCACTTTGGGAAGCCGAGGCAGGAGGATTACTTGAGCCCAGGAGCTTGAAAGAAGCCTGGGCAACATAGGGAGACCCTGTCTTTACAAAAATATTTTTTTAAAAAATTAGCCATGCATGGTGGTGCTTGCCTGTAGTCTCAGCTATTCTGGAGGTTGAGGTGGGAGGATCACTTGAACAGAGGAATTTGAGGTTACAGTGAGCTATGATCACACCATCACATGTGCTCCAGCCTGGGCAACAGAGCAAGACGCTGTCTCTTAAAAAAATTAAAAAAATTTAAGTCTGTTATCATGGCCAATAAAATCCTATATGATATTGCCTCTTAATACTTCATTGACCTATTTACTCTTATTTGTATCACTTCTCACCATTCTCCAGACTCTTTGCTCATCCTCCAACAAGTCTTTGTATTTGTTGCTCCTTCCATCTGCAATGCTCTGCCCTCAGATATCCGCATGGCTCCCTCATTCAGATCTGGGCTCCAGTCACCTATTCAAAAAATCCTTCCCTAGCCATTCCTCTACAATCATATTAGAGTATCTATAATCACTCACTATCTCTCGACTCTGCTTTGTCATCATAGACTTTATTACTCTCCAATATTAAATTATATATACACCATCTGACTGTGCCCAATCTCATCAACAGTAATGTTTTATCAGTACAGATTCGTGGATCTAAATAAAGATTCACTAAATCAGAAACTCGAGGTAGTAAGACCTAGGAATATATATATTTTAAGAAGCTGCTCCCCACCCCACCCCAGCTAATGCATACATGTCCCATGTAATTCTAATTCATTCACCCTATTGACCAGTATTTGGAATCTCCAGCATAAGTCATTTAAGTCATAAACAGATATAAATTATGTACATTTTAAGCATATTAGGCAAAGGTATGGCCTTAGACAAAGAGTGAAGGGAAGCTGTCATAGTTCTGTGATCAAAGCAATATAATAGGAGAGCTACTGAGACAGGTTAGGGGTCTGGCCCCTAAGCTCTTTTAAAGTTGTACTTGACAGTGACTCTAGAAGACGTAGAGGTCTCGATTTCACATACAGTGCCCATGGAAATATTGGTTGGTGCAAAAGTAACTGCAGTTTTTGCCATTTAAAAGCAATAGCAAAAACCGCAATTACCTTTGCACTAGCCTAATAATTCATGCCTAGTGTGATAGGACGTTTTCAACAGCCATGAAAGAAATATATTTTGCCTGTGGTCTTCACATACAGAATACATAAAAAGCTCCAGAATTGAGCTGATAATATTTTCAAAATGTGACAGATTACACACATACGTGGAAAAGAAGCCAATATTGGGACTACTTTTACGAAGAAGCTAGTGAAATCCGTTACTAGAGGGAGATGCTGTGGGAAAAGGCAAAGAAAAGGGGTTTCAGCTGTGCTGAGGCACTACGTGATTTTGCATGTTACTTAACCTTTAGACTTCAACATTTTCATCTATAAAGTAAAGATAACAACGCCACAGGGCCAGGCACTGTGGCTCACATCTATAATCCTAGCACTTTGAGAAGCCAAGGAAGGAGGATTGTCTGAGCTCAGGAGTTCGAGATCAGCCTGGGCAACCTGGTGATGACCTACCTCTGTTAAAATACAAAAAAAATCTGGGTGTGGTGGCACACGCATGTGGTTCCAGTTACTTGGGAAGCTGAGGTACAAGAATTGCTTGAACCCAGGAGATGGAGGTTGCAGTGATCCGAGATCATGCCACTGCACTCCAGCCTGGGTGACAGAGTGAGACTCTGTCTCCAAAAACATAAAAAAAGAAAAAAAAACAGCTCTACATAGATTACTGAAAAGATTACAGAGGAGTACATGTAAGGTGCCTAGCTCTTAGTAGATGCTCAATAAATAATAACATATTGTTTTGACAGTGGATTGAGGGTGAGATTGTGAAATCAGTTTCTGAGATCTCAAAATATAAAGAAAATTCTAAAAGTTTCCATTTAAATTTATTAATGAGAAAGAAATTAAGCTTCACTAACATTTTAAAAAGTGAATTGACATAAGCGCCTTACTCTGTTATGTTGGATGGTTACTCAGCACAGATGGCACATAATCGTGCTTCATCCTGGAGGAGCTGATGACCAGAACTCTCTTTTTGGACTGTTTTTGCTATACGAGCTGTATTGCGGTTTATATAGTTGATAAGTAGGTTTACAGTTTCTAGTATCACAAATCATAGATACTTTGGAATAATTCATAATGAGAGGGGGAAATACTACAAAAATCTCCAGGCAAAGTTCCTTAGAGAATGGCCAAATATGGAGCTTAGACATTTTTCTTTTATGAAAGGCTTTTGTGTCAGCCTGTTCTGTGATGACAAGTGGCTGACAACAGTATGCTATGCAACAGGTATTCTGAAAAATATCTTTCAAATAATGAGGGCTGGAAGTATTTACTTCATTGTGGTTTAGGTACTAAAAATATCACATATTTTACAACACACAAATGGGAATTTTTTTTCTTTCTTTCTTTCCTAATGAAACATGACAACTAAGAAAATTTTAACCCATTTAAAAAAATGTTCCAAATGAAGAGTTTGAATGGATTTTTGACATCCTTTGTTAAAAAAAATCCTCTGATTAACTTGCAGAAACATGCAATTGACATTAGGGAAGGCAGAAATTTGCTAGCTACATTTCAACAAATGATGCCTCATAATTGGTAGATGGATTGAAATGTGAGTGATGTGAATTTGTAATCATAGCTGACCATTTCTATTTGGATCTACACATCTTTGACACATAATTTTTCAACTGTGACCGTCATTAAAATCAAGTATTAAAATAAACTGTACTAGCTACATCTTCAGAGCAGAGGACTAATTCAAGATTTTTAAAACTAAACATAGTATGTTACAATTTTAACATGAACAAAAAGTTTCTCATGCCAATATTACACTTCAAACTTTAAAGTATTCATTTAATCTTTGTCTCATTCTTCTTAAATTTGTTCTACTGAAATCTATATACATAGTAATGCACAGAACATGTATATCATTAAATAAATAAATGTATAATGTGCCTGTGTAAAAGTTTTTACAGATGAGATGAGCAATAAAAATGTTTTAAAGACAATTGATTCAAATGAATAGATTCATGGCATAATAGCAAACTTCTTTTGTGCTGTACAAATATATCCAATAAAAGAAAGTACTGATTCAAAATCTATGAATTTGTTGAGCTTAAAAATGCTTGGGTTTTGCCCTTGTGAGTGAGATAATCTTGTTTTATGAAGCAGGCAGGTGATTACACATGATGAAAGGGTGGGAGAAGGAAATCCAGGGCATATCCCTGCTGAAGTATACTTGGTGACATGGCTTGGAAATGTCTCTCAAGCTCTCTGAGCCAATCATCTCATCTGCAATATGGGTATAACAAATTTCACTTTGCAGGACTGTCATCAAGATTATATGCTGTGAAGAATATATCACATTGAATCATATGAGATTGCTGGTGTTTGACGTTTGTTGCATACAAAGGTGACACTTTATATGGTTCAACCTCATATAAACACAGTCAGATATATGGAGATAATATTATTTCAGCTCCTTATTTACCTAACATATAAGATTTGGGAGATGATGTTTTTCTTATCTGCTGCCAGAAAGAATGATCACATCCCTAGGATTTATTTTCTGAAGGTCATCACTTTCTTTTGTCTGCCCAACACTTGAACCTGTTCATTTTCTGCTAGCATTTTGAGCTGGGTTGCTCAGCCCACTTGTCTTAGTCAAATCAACTCCTCCAGGACTTGGCTCAGTCTTCAGGCCTCATTATGGGGAGACATGAAATTCATGCCATAGATTTAGCCTCATCAAAGGGATAACTTGCATGCCTGATTCTGTGGCAACCAAAGTTTCTTGGTAGAATTTTAAGGACAAGCCACCATTTTAATTTATCTTCCATTGAAACTTGAAAGTACTATATTAAAAGGGCAGTTTTTGGCAGAGTTTTAGAGCAGGGTTTAAATCCTTGGTGATTTTAATCAGACTCTACCTTAAAGTCTGAAAATACATAGGCCTTGGGGCTAATATTTTCCTCCAAAGCTCCATTCTCTTGGCAACTAATTTTCACTTATTAAATAAAATTTATTTTTGAAGCATCTAAACCTTTTATCTGGCTTCTTTTCAAAACAAGACCTATAATGTTCAGCAAAAGAAATTCAAGTTTTAAATGTTGATTATTGAAAATTATACAATTTCTGTTTTAATTAATTCTGCTCCGAATAAAATAGTCATATCACATTAACAGAAAGAAGCAGAGGGGCAGGCTATGGGGCAGCAGAGAAAAAAGGAGTGCAACAAGGGCAAAGCTGCCCCAGCCCTACAACAGCCTGCCTAGCCAGGCAGTCATGTAGATTCAGGGAGAAAACCCCACATTTAGGAGTAGGAAACCCGGCTGTGGTGGTCCCGTCATTTCCACGAACTGGCTGTGTGACTTGGTGAGCCTCTTCTCATTCTCTCTAGATTTCAGTTTCCCCACCTACCCAACAATGGGCTTGAAATAGAAGACCTCTGAATTTCTCTCCAGCTTTGATGTTCTATCATTTGATGGAGAAATAACTTGTACTCAATACGAATTATATATACAGTATATATATATATATATATTTCACACATGTATGTGTGTATGCACACCAGGCTAAAATGATCTAAAAAATATAACAGAAGAATAATGATACTCAGCTTATAGCAGGCCACCAAATGGGAAGAGAAAATGTTTGGAAAGAATAACATTGCATTTTAAATTCTTACTTTACTTGGAGAAAAGATGCAGTACTTGAGTCACTTAGTTAATGACTTTAGCCTCTCCATTGTTAAGATGTGTGCACTTCAGTATTTGTACTTGCTCTTAGAAAAGTGGTGAGAAGTTTGTTTTTGAACATTTGACCTTGTCTAGATTTAAGGACAACTGTTTAACAATCCTTCTTCTTTCTCTCTCTCTCTTCACTTCCTTTATTATAATGGTAAGCAATGTTTATTGTAAAGAATCAAAGAAGTATAAAGAACAAAAGTAACTAGTATTCTCACCACCTTGATGAAAATGTTCACCCAAATTTATTTAGAAGATTTTCTTGTTGAGGATTAGTATTAGGTACTTCTGTAAGATCTACATGGTTGTCTTGTTTTTGTTTTGTTATTTTCTTTTAATTAGTTGAGATTTTTTCCAACTCCCCCACACCCCCTCCCCAAATTTAAGTATGAAGGAATGCCAGCCTGCTCTTTTGGAAACATGCTTCAGTTGTATTGTGGAGAGAAGCTAGCAGGCCATGGCAGCCTATCTGCCAATATATTTCTGGGTCTTCTCCTTCTGGGCACACAGTGGGATTGTATTTCTTTGGCTTCTTGAAAAGAAATGTGACCACATGGCTTCTCTTGACCAATGGCCACATCTGTTGGGTTAATTGCATTTAAAACCCAGTGTGCAATTCCTTATTTCTGCTTCCCCCTGCAATGGCAACCAGCCACATTCTACATGTTAGGTGTTTCATCAATCTGGGCTCCTGAGGAGACTGACATAAAGCAGAGCCTCCTACTGACCTCAGATGGACATGTAGAAAGAGGACAGAATAAACCTTCTTTGCTTTCAGCCCCTGAGCGTTTGTTTGTTTGTTTTTAAATCTGTCTGCAGCATGACCTTCCTGTTCTTTCAGATACAGGGAATGTGACTAGAGTTAGGGAGAGGAGTTGGATATAATTTAGGAAAGAGACCCAGGTGCAGTGGTTCAATCCGGCAATCCCAGCACTTTGGGAGGCCTAGGCAGGTGGATCACTTGAGCTCAGGAGTTTGAGACCAGCTTGGGAAACACGGCTCTGGGAAACCCATCTCTACAAAAAAATAAAAAATTAGCCAGGCATGGTGACATGCACCTGTAGTCCCAGCTACTTGGGAGGCTGAAGTGGGAGGTTGGCTTGAGCCTGGGAAGCAGAGGTTACAGTCAGCCAAAATTGTACCACTGTACTGCACTGCAGCCTGGGCAACAGAGACATACACTGTCTCAGATAAATGAAATTACTTTTAATTGCAAAAACCACAATTACATTTTCACTAACCTAATAATAATAATATTCTAAGAATGAGATGATATGCTTGGAACCAGAATAGTTACAGTAGGATTAGGGAAAGGAAAATGTGTTTGAGAGACATCTAAGAGGAAAATTATTAGAATTTGGTAACAAATGAGATATGAGGGTTGGGGGGAAGTTAAAGCCAAGGTCTTGATTTGGGGAACTGGGTGGTTTGTAGTGCCATTTACCGATATGGTGATCGCTGGGGGTGGATAAAGTTTGGTTGGTGGAGGGAGAAGAAGTTGAGAGATTATGAGTTCAGTTTTGGACCTATTGAACTTGAGACATCTAGGACATCCAAATGGAAATATTTAGTGGGCTCTTGACTGTACTATTTACCACAAACTGATGAAGTGGGAAGAGTGATATGTTTTTCCCAATCTATTTTCTCTAGTTATGTTTAAGAATAAAATAACTTAGTAGATACTAGAGCCTATTCTTCTTTTCCTTTTAGAAGCATTTCTGTTGAAATATTCCATTGAACAAATTCTGTTTTTTTTTCCTGTGGACTGGGGTTTATTTTGCCTTCTGTTCTATAGAGGCACAGGCTTACATACTAAGAATCTAGAAGTCATTTGAAAGCTTTCTTGCTTCATTGTCTTACACATATGCACTTGGTATGTTAGTTTCCTGAGAAGGCCATAAACTGGGTGATTTAAAAGAATATAGATGTATCATTCCTCACTTCTGGAGGCTGGAAGTCTGAAATCAAGACGTCAGTGGGGCCATGCTCTAACAGGAGCATCTGTTCCCTGCCTTTCTTTTAGCTTCTGATGTTGCCAGCAACCCTTGTGCTTCTTGATCTGCAGCTGTATGGTTCCAATCTCTGCCTCTATCATCACATGGCATTTACCCTATGTCTCTAGGTATTCTCACAAGGCCACTAGTCACACTGGCTTAAGGGCTCACCCTACTCCAGTATGACCTCATTTTAACTTAATTAATTCCATCTACAATAACTTTATTTTCAAATAAAGTCCTCTGAGGTACCGAGGGATAAGACTTTAATGCATCATTTGGGGGGTCAATTCAACCCATGATACATGGTAAGACTGTGATAATGCTAAAATTTAATTGCCTTTAATGACAAAATTGTTTTGGCAATTGTTGTCCATACTTTTTATGGCCTGCAGTTTGGCTGTAACACTGACACTCTCTTCAACATTTGTTGCCCTTCTCAGGTTGAGGGAGTAGCCCCTACCTTGTTCACAAGGCAAAGGAAAACTTCCAATTGCTGAACAACACAACGGCTCATAAATCTTCTGCTAGGGACTGGCATATGTCACTTCCAGCCACATTTCATAGACTAAGACAGGTTGTGAGGGCCTAGCCTAATATCTCCATGGGAAGGTATATTCCTTTCAGAGGGAGGCATGCAAGTCACATGGCAAAAGTGAATATGTGGGAACAATAATACAATCTACCTCAGTCTAGCTCATTCCATGAATCATGACATACCTTAGGTTGTTTTTCATAATGTCTCTTAGATATGCTTCCTCTTTCCACTTCTCTCAAGCCTAACGTTTATGCAGGACCTCACATAATCATTCTTTCCTTGGCAGTTCAGTGTGCTCCCCAAACTCAGGATCTCCCCACTCCAATTTATAATATGCACAACAAATAGCATTATCTTCTTCAGGTGATTACTTCATTTCTTTATCAGGAAACATTTAAGGCATTTACTTAAATGCCTTCCATCCCTGAGAGATACATGGGCATTATCCTCCTGACCAGTACCTAGACAATTGTCTGACTGTGGGCCACACATGGGGCAGCCTCATATATATTTCAACACACATGCACATCAAACACCATGTTTTTCAAATAACATTAATACGGTTTCATTCATCCATCCATCCACCCATCCATCCATCATCCATCCATCCAAGGGTGTTCTTTGAAGGTATGCATTTTAAGTGTCAGGGATATAATGGTGAACACAGATAAGGCCCTGACCTCATGAAGCTTGTAGCTAGCAGAAGAGAGAGACAGAAACCCCACAAACAAATGTAAACAAATGTAAAAGAAACCCCACAAACAAATGTAAACTGCAACTTTGAAAAGGTGATACCTTATAGCCAAGCCTATATTGAGGAAGTTTGATTTAGTCCCAGAGATCAGGGCAGGCTTCCCTGAGAACTGAGATGTGAGCTGAGAAGGGAAAGATACACAGAAATTAATCAGGCAAAGGAGGGAGGGAAGAATGTCTCGGGAATGGAGAGCAGCTATGTGCATGGAATAATCCCGGTAAGAGTGTGGACTGAAAGGAGGCCATGAGATGGAGATGATGCAGCAGGGGCAGCCAAGGGAAGGACTATGCCTGGCAGGGCCCATGGGCCTCATTTCAGAGTTTTGCATTCCTAGGCATACTAGGGTGACAGACTAGAGTTGTAGTTTGCACAAACACCTCTGTGCATGGAGAAGAGATGTGGAGGAGTGAAGTGGGGTAGATGTGTGAGGCTATTCAGGAAGCAATGGCAGGAGCCCAGGTGAGATATAGCTGCAGCTGGAACAGGAGTAGTGATGGGGTGGAGGGGAATTGAGGAGAGATTTAGAAAATAAGACCTACTAAGCTTGGTGATGGAATGGATATGTCAGGCAAGGGAGAGGAAAGTGACAAGAATGACCTTGAAGTTCCCAGCTTATTCTACTGGACCCTGAAAGGGGACCTTATTTGAGAGCAGGGAAGAGAGGGACCATGAGTTTCAGATGTCTGTAAGACATCCAAGAAGCACATGCCAGCTTCCCCTCCTGTGCTGTCTCAGGTAAAGGCATCACTGCCCAGCACATTGCAAGACTGAAATCTTATACTTAGTGCCCACCCCGTCTGTCCAACCGGTCACCACATGCTCTTCTGCCTTTGACAAGTAGCTCAGCTCCCTTCCTCATGCTCCATTCTCCTGATTTGCTATCTTATCTAGGGGACCTAAACAAAATACAATTGTTGCAGCCTTAGAGACACCAGACATTTGGCTGGAGCAAGGTTCTTTCTGAGACAAACTTTCATTTTCAGATCATGACAAGATCCAGAGGTTCCTGAATTAGTCAGGGCAAGAGTAGGAGCAATCAGGCCCCTGGCCATGGCTGTGACCAACCCCTGGTATCTCAACATCTTAAAAGCCAGCACAGGCCAGGCACGGTGGCTCACGCTTGTAATCTCAGCACTTTGGTTAGGCTGAGGCAGGCGGATCACAAGGTCAGGAGATTGAGCTCATCCTGGCCAACATGGTGAAACCCTGTCTCTACTAAAAATACAAAAATTGGCTGGGAGTGGTGGTGCGTGCCTGTAGTCCCAGCTACTCAGGAGGCTGAGGCAGGAGAATCGCTTGAATCCGGGAGGTGGAGGCAGCAGTGAGCCGAGATCACGCCATTGCACTCCAGCCTGGACAACAGAGCGAGATGCTGTCTAAAAAAAAAAAAAAAAGCCAGCATGGCCCTCCTTGTGTGCCCCTGAATGGAAAGAACAGAGCTGTCCATAAAGAGATGGGGAGTTCAGATTGTGACTTTGAAAAGTTACTTCTCTGAGCATTAATTTTCTTAACTGTGAAAAGGGAATTATAACCCTTCTCTTTAAGGGTTGTCGTCATAGCTTAAAGAACATAGATTGAGCAACTGCCACATATTAGGAGGTCAATACATGGGAAGAACCATTCCAATAAGCTGGACTTTGACAAGGGTTGCCCTCTGTCTTCATTTTTGTAGTTTTCCAGGACATGAATTGGGTCTTCTCTTTCTTCTGCACTTCTTTGAGTGTTCTGTCAAACATCTGGCACATGCTGACACCCAGTAAAGTTTGTTGAATGAATGAATGCAGAGTTTATCTACACTTTGTGTTTTTTTTTTTTTTTGCAACTTGATGAAAAAGATTTCTGCTATGAAAGCCCCAAAGCATATAAGATGAAAAATGATGAAAGAATCATAATCTAAACAGCACCTGTTACTGCTTTTGAATTCTGTATTACTAATATAAAAACCGGCACCTGGAATAAATGTTTTAAAATTAGTTTTAAGGACATCTTTTAATCAAGAGCTTATTCATGGAGGGAATTTTATTGTTTCCATAACTTTCTTTAACTTGATATTTCATTTCCTAATAAATTCATACTTTGCTTTCTTTTGCTAAAGTCTCTCCTCCATCCCCTGAGCTCACGAGTTAGTCACACTAGGCATTTTTAAAGCATTTTCTGCAATCTTGCAATAACCAACTCTTATATTTATTCATGTTTATTCATGTTTTAAATCTCACCCCTCTAACATCTTAAGTAGTATAAAAACAAAAATATCAACAAGTCAAAGGCACCAAGATAATACAAAGAGACATATTAGAAAAAATATTCTGACTATGCAGCCATAAAAAAGAATGAGAGCATGTCTTTTGCAGGAACACAGATGGAGCTGGAGGCCATTATCCCTAGCAAAGTAACACAGGAACAGAAAACCAAATACCGCATGTTCTCACTCTAAGTGGGAGCTAAATGATGAGAACTCATGGACACTTAGAAGGGAACAACACACTGGGGCCTATTGGAAGGTGGATGATGGGAGGAGAGAGAGTATCAGGAAAAATAACTAATGGGTACTAGGCTTAGTACTTGGGTGACAAAATACTCTGTACAACAAACCCCTGTGACACAAGTTTACCTACATAACAAACCTGCATGTGTAGCCCTGAACTTAAAATAAAAGTTAAAAAAATTATTGGGACTAAATTGATCAAACTTTATTCATCCACAGGGGTTTTCCACAAAATAGCATAAAGAAACAACTCAACATTTATTATTATTATTATTATGGTGTCTTTTCAAATCACTCCAGGGCACCACAGACACTTTCCAAAAATATTTACAACATCAGGGCTATCAGATTACCCATTTTTCATGGTTGTAGAGTTGAAAAGGACATGGGAAAAAGAATATCCTCCTTCTGAGCCTGCTTCATGTCCTCAGACTGTGCTTTTAGTGCCAACCTATAAAAATGATCTTGTATCTCCGTGAGTGGGCACCACAGTAAATCCAGGGCTGACTGACAGCAGGCCCCTCCCTCCACAGAAATAAGCCAGTCTCCCTCCAGCATCAGGACCCCCAAACCTGTGCAGGGAATGTTCAAACTCAGGGCTATCACACAGCTCTTGGCCTTGCAGCCCAATCTGCTCCCACTTGCAAATCCAAACACACCCTTTACTTTACTTTTTGAAAGCTTTACTTTCATATTTTATTTTAATTCACTAGACATTTTTTGTTGTTGTTTAGAAGAGTGAAAACTACAGAAAGAAAAATTCCCAAGGTGGCATCCACGTTGAGTCCTTCCCCGGCATCTCAGCAGCAAGTTAGCATTCTATGGGTTTTCCTAGCTAGCACTCCACCGCCATGGCCCAAAGCTGAGCTAAACAGAAGCTAACGCTAAATGCCTTCAATACTTTTTGAAAAATCCATCAAAGGTTTTGCTGAATGATATTTATAAGGGCCTTACTGTTCTCTTTCACAGACTGAAATGCCCTTCTCCGACACTTGAAAAAAGTTGCTCATGCTTTTCATCTTTCCCTCTCAGAGTGTAAACATTGTTTTGAGTGAAAAGAGCTGAAGGAGCGCTTACTTTCCCTTGAAATTTTATTTTTAAATAAGAGAGGGAGAAAATCCTTTTTCTGACTAATACTAATAATACAGGTCAAAGTGTCAGGCGATATACAATTAAATGGAAAACAAAAAAGGTTCCCCCTCTTTTTCCCACAGTACAATGGTGCTGGAATATAAATTACCGATGAAGATGAAATAATACTTCAAAGCCTATAGGGCAGGGCAGCTCGGTGTTTACAAAGTATTTTCTATGGCACGATGAGACATTAAAGATGATGGTAACCCATGGACTTGAGGGTGTTGCTGAATAGACTGAAACTAGCATGAGGTAGGATTTTAGGTCGCCGTAGCCTGTGACCCCGTGATATGCTTTGTTTTACAAGGGCAGCTGCAGTTATCAACAGATGTTTCAGCAATAAATAATTGGTATCATCTCGGAAAAGACCCATCTACCTAGGGAGAGGGCATAATACCAAAAACACTGCCCAGCTATTACAGCCACATTAATCTCCCATCTCTTCAGGTTTCTTGGGGAGCGTACTGCAGGTGTTTTTTCTGGGAGAGCGCGGACAAACTCTCTCAAGTCAGCAAGCTTTGTGTGGAGTGTAAAGGAGGTTGGCCCCTGCCATAAATTTCTGTCTGTGGCCACACACCAAAGGAAAAGGGATTGGAGAGTCAGGGAGGAGGGGAGGAGAGCAGTGGGGAGGGAGGAAATGGGAACACAGTGGAGACCAGAAAGCAAAACACAAAACATGTATCATTTTTCTTGGTTAAGTTCAGCCCAAGAGAATAACATTATAAATGACTCTTAATTTTACCAACTCATGAACTGTGGAAAACAGTTGTTTGTGACTTGCCTTTTTCTTAAGCATTCTGTTCTCAACTTCGATCTGTTATTTGTGGAATTAAAGACACAGTGTTTATGCTCTGAGTACAATGCTTATTTGAAAAACAGAGGGGAAACATTTTATGGGAAGGATTCATTTCAAGGTAAAAAAATCACAGAAAGTTTATATTTATGAATAAACTATAAAAAGAGAGAAAACATGAAAAGACAAACTCAGTAATCTTTAAATATTTTTTACATGAGAATGGAATTTCACAATTAATCAGTTATTAAAATATGACCATCCAGCTCTGACAAACTCTAATATTGAAATCGACCAGATTGGGATACAATGAAACAAAAACAAATCATGGAATTTATTCAAACTATTTTTAATAATCTAAGATATTAAAAATAGATTTTAGGAGTGCCTGACTTACAGGGTGCTATGGTTCTCCATATTTACAAAACAGAGTGGTTTAGCAATTGTGCACTTGGGGTCTGGCACAATAGGAGAACATCCTAAAAGTCATTAGGAGGTGCGGTTGCTTAATTTATAGCTTGCTGGGCAAGCTAAAGAAAATGATGCTCAGAGTTCAAAAAGCTGCCAGATTAAATACATTAGAGACTAAAGAAGGCCTAATAGACAGCGCCCCTTAGAGCTGCTACTGAGTGACCTTGTGAGCTGGGCTCAAACTTCTTAAATTCTCTATGCTTCTATTTCTCCAATTGTGAAATTTGTGTAGTATAGAGAGGCATAGCGGGAGGTATCATAAGTGGGCTCTTAAAATAGTCTACTCCAACTATGAGCAGCTTCTCTCCCAACTCACATTAAACCCCCAGTGCAGCGGGACTGATGTTTTTAATGATGTTTAAAACATCGTTTTCAGTTTTTAAGCTAATGTCACTACCAGCTTTGAATGCAGGGCTCAGGGGATCTGGTGATTGCAGGATGGAACAAGGGGAGTAAACCCCAGTTATAGTGATGTGCCACATCACTCAGCCTATGTTCAAAAGTCAGAGAAACCTGCTAAGCCCAAAAGTCAAAGCTGAGTCACTCCCTCTTGTGAGGCCGTTTTGCTCTCGCCTTCCTTGGAAGGTTTGTAAAGTTCTTTTATGCCACTAGGCTAATTCCACAAGGGATCTCCAAGCAAGTAAAGTGACCATCAGCTTTTGCAGAAGGGCTCCAGTCTAAGCAACAGTTCCCAGAATTGATGGAAAAGAGATTTTTTTTTATTGGATTGGTCTCCTACAGCCTTCTCACTGGATTCTCCTTACTCCTTACCTTGACCCTCTCCACTATATCCCCATTCAGTCTCTCTGCCCTTCCCCCTTGCTTGCCACTCTACTCTTTCCTGCAAACAGTGGCTCTCAAACTTTAGCATCAGAATCATCTGGAGGGCTTCTCTAATGCTGATTGCTGGACTCCCACCCCCAGGGTGTTTGATTCAGTAAGGGTTTTTGATTTGCACCCAAGAATTTGAATTTCTGACCAGATTTCAGATGATGCTAATCTATTGTTGGGAGGTCTCACATTTATAGCCACTGCTTTAGAGCTGCACTGTCCAATAAAATGGCAGCCCTGGCCACATGTGACTATTTACATAGAAATGAATAAAAAATAGCTAAAATAAAAATTCAGTTCTTCGGTCCCATTCACCACATTTCAAGTGCTTGAGAGCCATCTGTAGCTAGTGGCTACCATATTGAACACAGCTGTAGAACATTTCCATCATCAATACAAAAAGTGTTACTGGATGGCCTACAGCTTACTTTAGATACAATAAGTAAACCTCATGGCTTCTACCTGTTTTTTCAAGCTCTTCACTTGGTGCTTCCTGATGGAGAATTGGAGTTGGATGAAGGAGAAGGCTGTAAGTCACAATTTCACCACTTACTGGTCTGTTCTTCCCCTGAGCAAATTAATCTCTTCGCACCTTAATTTCCTTGTTCAAAAGAGGGATGATAATGGTAATACAGGAGAACCCCAACTTAACAATTGTTCAACTTATGATTTTTTTACTTTACAATGGTGTGAAAGCAATATACATTTAGTAGACTACAACCATTCTGTTTTTCGCTTGCAGCACAGTATTCACTAAATTACACAAAATATTCAATACCTTATTACAAAATAGGCATTATATTAGATGATTTTGCCCAACTGTACACTAATGTAAGGGTTCTGAGCTTGCTTAAGGTAGGCTAAGCTAAGCTATGATGTTTAGTAGGTTGGGTGTAGTAAATGCATTTTTAATGTATAATATTTTTGACCTATTATATTTCCAACTTATGATGGATTTACTGGGGGCAACTCCTTTGTAAGTCAAAGAGCATCTGAATCACTCTGTAAAGTGTTACAAGCACTTTGTAAACTCTATAGTGATAGTTAAGTTATAGTTATTATTTTATTCTACTTTTCCACTAATACTGACCACATTTATTTAAAACCCTGGCTCACCATTGTGTTCTCCTTAAGCATTCACTTTCCTTTGCTTGCAATCCCCAGTCTGCTTAACCTGTTTTGTTTGTTTTTTAGGAGGATGAGAGAGCTGGGGTTTTACTGTTTCTATTAAGTCTCTAAAGATGCTCTTGTGTGTCTATAGATCAGGGGGTCTTTCTTAGATTTTTGCTTGAATGGGCAAAGACAATGTCTATATATTTATTTTGGGATGACTCAAAAATACAATCTTACGTAAAGCAATAAAGTAAAAATTTTAGGATATTGTCATGCTTTAATGCCTAACAAATATATTTTTTATTTGAGAAAATATATATATATATATAAATTAGCAAGCTTTCTTCCTTGACAATCTTCCGAGAGAATGTGGGTAAAAAGCAACGCTATCAAAAAGGAAAACGGTTCTCCCTATGTTATCCCCAGAATCAAAGCCTGAATCCTGAGCTGCAATCTGAGTTCCTGTGCTACTCCCCAGGCTCTCTTCTATCTGGCATAGAAGTACCAGTTCAATTAATTTCCAATAAATGAGTTGAGAAATAAGCATGTCAATGACTTTGACTTGATGCTTCCTGAACAGCCTTAATCTTGAGGATATAAGAAAGTCAACAGGACCCTAGGTGGGGCTCAGGGAAGGAATATGCCAGACTTCAGTAGCTTAGACAGCAAGTCACACTGATGAAACAAGGGTGCATTTACTTTTTTAAGCTACCTAACTTTTAGAAAGTAGCATTTCAAAATTAAAATGCTGTGAGGAATGGTGAAATCAAATCTGCTTCTTTGGCCCACCAAGGATATGTAAATATTTCAAGATGACAGGGTTCATGTTAGACTCACTGACCACTCTTCACTTTTACTGGATTTGGCTTTACAACACAAGATCTTATGGGCAAGTAATGTTTTTCAAACAGCTATTTCCCTCACATTAGTCAATCTGGCAGAGCTGAGCATAAGGGTAGGGGGCTGTCTTGTGCTTCAAAGAAATTTAATCTATTAGACCACTTAGAGTCTAAATGCCTCACTTGGGGATATCAGAGGAACAGGTGGTGTGGCTCTTCCTACCAGTAACTGCTGCAACCCGGCGCCAATCACATCCTTCAGGTTTGTTTTGTCCTCTGGGCCCACGGCTTGTTTGTACTGCCACTTTTCAGGCACGAAGGGCCACTTCATTTCCTTTGCCTCCTGGATCAGGGTCCTTAACTCGCTGGGGAGTAAAGCTGAAAAGGTCAGAGTTCAGGTAAGGAAATTGCAGTCAAAGAAAAGGCTGTTGAGCTACCAATGTTATGATGAAGCACCTCAGTGGCAAAAAAAAAAAAAAAAAAAAAGAGAAAAACCTTTTCCCTGCCTCTTGCTGGCTGGTCTAAGCTGTTGGTTCTGACTCAAAGAATAACAGTGAGGAGCTATCTGTCAGGGGTGGCCCTGGCCGACTTTGCCCTACAGGTAAATTGGGGTAGTCAGGCATTAAGAAAGGTTTTTAGCAGGAAGTAAAGCACTTTAGTGACTATCTCTGCATGAAGAATCAGAGAAAGGAATGAAGGAAATATTATTTTCCCTGTAAAATGAGAAAGGGACTGAAATGGAATGGCATTCTGGGCTTGTGGCAGGTGGATGATGCAGTGTTAATTTGTACAACCTCTTTTTGCTTCTCTAAGACTTCACTTTCTCATCCCTTCGATATGGACTACATTTGAATACAGAAAATAACTACGAAAAACACATATCAGATTTGAAATGGTGTAAATTAATTGTGAAATGGCCCTGTTTCACATTAGTAGATGTATTAAATCTCTTAATGGGTACCAAGTCTACTTATAATGGTCTATAATCTCCTATACAAACTTTGGAAACACAAGCAGCTTTAGCAACTGGAAATTTTTCTTAAGTTTGGCACCCGAAACAGAATTGAATTAACTAGAGGCTATTTATAGTCCTGGTTAAGGACTCAGTGAGATTGCTCAAATGTTTTGCTGCAAAATTTTTTGTGTTTGACTGCACTCCACCTGCTACTGAAGCATGAATGTGATGTACAGTACATGCACCAGAAGACCCTCCTAACACTAGAAAAATTCTGAATTCTGAAGTACACATGTGATGCCAGGGTTCTGAATAAAGGATTATATATATATGGACCCGTACATATGACTGCCATATAAATAAAGGACCTGTATATATGACTGCCAGCTATAAATCTCTAGGTACTTGTCTTGCAAGCCTCTCATGCTCAACATCCAAAACTGAACTCATCACTTTTTTCTAAATCTGTTTTCCCTTATAAATCTCTACTTTAATGACTGGCACCACCATTTACTAAGTTCCCCGAATCTGAAACCCAGGAGTCAGTCTAGACTTTGTGTTCTCTCTTCTTCCCCAAACCTAATTGGTTGTCAAATCCTGTGGCTCCTAAAATCCATTTTCTCCTCTTCCTTGGCAGTAATTCTTGCCTGAATTATTGTCTGAATCTTGCTCCGTCCAGTCCCTCTTGCACATTGTCAAGCCTCGTTTTTCTAAAAACAAGATGGACCAGTCCATTGCCCTGAATAAAAATCTTCAGTGGTTTGGCAAATCCCGTTCCGGCTCTTTGGATTGACTTCCCCCAGTGCCTTGTGACCAAATTCAGGCCCACTGGCTTCAGCACTCAATGCAAACATTGCCACTTCTCCTCAATCCACCGTGACCTCACAGTGGAATTGAGCGCCTGCTCTGAGCACTTCCAAACCCAAGGGAGCAGGCTCTTTTCAGCCATCATCCCACTGCTCTGTAACTATTTCTGTCTCTCACTGGACTGCTATCTCCCTGAAGACAAGCATCATGTCTCATCATTTTTATAAGTCACATCATGATGGGTGAAAGACCAGTATGATTAAAAGACAAGGTTCATCTTCTAGCTGGCCCTTTGAAAATATTTTTATATCATCTATAAAAAAGACATGGTTCATCTAGTATCTATGTGAAACATGTTAAATACAGCAAAAGAGATATGACAGAAAGAACAAAAGAAAAAAGGAGAGAGAAAATCTAACTTGGTCTGTGATCCCTTTTTATGAGCCATTTAGAACCATTTATGAACTGGGCAAATGGAAGGAAGTTTTCTGGTGGGGAAGGACTGTTTGGCATTGAGGGGATATCACATGGGCTATGCCAATGAATGATTCACACTGATTACCGAGGATGGCTTACAGGTATCACACTGAAATTATCACCCCCTATCTCCATTGAGCAGTCCAGGACTACTGAGCATCTACTGTGTGACTGATAGTGCTCCCCCTTGAAAGCAGACCCACAGGATTAGGGACTTAGGTGGCCACATTCTGCTGGAAAACCTGACCCTCTTACAGCCACTGACATAATTTCAACTTCTGAAACTGTTTTCAATATAGCTGTAGAGAACATTTCTTCAAGAGCATTTCTAAACAGTCACAGACAGGATGACCCCTTAGACCTGTTTGCTTAGGACCATCCTGTGTGGTCCTAGGGTCCTTATTAACAGTGCTCCTTTTCACTCTCAGAAGAAGTGTCCCAGTTTAGCTAATAAATTCTTTAAATTATTTGAACACTGAGTCAATGTGAGCAGTCACATGGCAAAGGAAATGTGATTTCTGGGTTCATAGAATTTTATCACACTTTGGAGTGAATAGTGTTCATATTTTCAAATTTCTTCATGGTAATGGAAAAGTCTGTTCTTTACAACTAACTCATTTTTGCCTCCTTCACATCACCCTTTCCCCACACCTCACGTCAGAATGTCCTGTGAGGCACTCTGAAATAAAATATGCCTCTTAACTATGTTTTTAAAATGTATCTCTGGATTTCAGTTCCTTCTTCATCTCTGGAGAAGTTGCTGGGGTAGTCACCCATGCTAACAAGGACAGTTTCTGAGGGAAAATCATGGCGTCGAGAGGAGGAAGGAGAAGAAAAACCTCAGTGTTTGTGTTGCAGGGTCTGCTGGCTCGCCCCGCTGCCATAAGTGACCCTGTACTAATGCCTTTCTCTGGGAGCACATGCGGTGACGACATCGGTGGCGGCACGACCCGCCTGCTCGAGCCGCTCCGCAGCCACCTGCCGAGGGAAGGGATCCGGTGCAGGCTGCACTCCATCCGCACGGTGGGCTCGGGTGGGACACGCAGCGCCGCCCTTGGGCTGGGGCTGATGCTACGGCTGCCAATGGCTCCGCTTAGGAGGCGTCCTTCCCCGTCGGTTTATTGGATTCAACCAACGCCGGGCAGTCAGCCCCAGACCCAGCAGTAACCTCCTCTGCCTCTCTGATCACTTGCTTCCCCAAGCAGCTTACCTGAAGGGCCATGTCTAATTTAGTGATTTTACAGCCGTGATTTGCCTTATCTGGAACTAAACTGATTACTTCTTCTATTCTGTGGCACTCGTGAAGAAAAAGAAAAGAAAATGCTACCCAATTGGGAGCTCAGAGTCTTCATCAGGGAGAACACAAAGCTTAAAGGAATTTGGCTGAGGAGACAAAGGGTGTGGTGTAGTAAAAGGGAGAGAAAAACTTCAGTGGAAACAACAGAACACAACACACCGCCCCTGGGGAGAACTAGGGCCAGCCATAGAGCATATTCTATAGGTGCCAAGTACCTGCCATTCCCTGACAAAGGCTGACATCTGTGAGAGTGATCTCAGGCTGACAGGCACATGGAGCCAGGAAGCAAAGTCACACATTGGTGTATCACAGAAACTGAGGCTGTGAAATGACTGGACGTAGGGGATTTTTATCTTGAAAGGAGGACAAATGACAGGTTACAAATAATTAAGACTTCCATAGTGCCCTTGTAAAAATATATGTGCCTATGTACAAGAACTCAGGAGAAAAGACTCTCCCAGAACATTTTCCCATTACATAATGAACAACAGCAAAAAATGAGGAGTATGCATTTTATTTGGGAATCTTGTTTCTGTGAGGAATAGCAAAGTGCTAAAAATACTGAGAAAAATATTAAAAGCATGTACAAAGGACAGTACTTATGGAAGTGGAGGAAAATTTATTCAAATGCTAAAAAGAAATCTAAAAAAAAAACCCAGAAGATTGCCTCTCAAAAATTGGTTAAAGAAGACATAAGAATTGCTTTAACTTTCTAGACTTTGTGATGGAAACTTCCCAAACAATGACTTATCTGATACTCTGAATGGCACAAAGAACAAAATGAGCAAAAAGCCAAATTCTTAAAACCTGATAATGATGCAATCAGTATTTATCGAGATGAGAGAATTTATTTTACAAATGGTGTGAGAATATAGCATGAAGAATGTATTGGTGATCAAAATAGTGAGATTGGACTGGTGAGATGACGTATTTATGGAAACCCTAGAAGTCTATGGAAACCGATGAGGCAAAAAATCCTAGTTTGAAAAAAAGTATGTGCCACCATTCAGAAATTGCTTCAATTTTTTAATAATTGAAATTTACGTGCACCAGCCAACTTGGATCCTTTGTTCTTCTTGAACTAAACTGTTTCTTGTAGCCTCATGTTTACTGAAGCCTAAAATTAGAACTGACAGCAATTCAGTGCAACAAAGTGGGCTTCCTCCCCTGCCCGTCCGCCCGCAGCCCATGTCCCATTCATGCCCTAGAAATCCACTCATCTCTCGGTGGTCATCTGCCAAGAGAAGAAAAATAGGGCAGAGATAAGAACGTGTCGTTCAGGCAGGGGACAGGAGAGTGAACCTGCTGGTTCACCCCTGGTGCCTCCCATCAGAACCTCACCTCTGCAGCGCTGGTCCTCGCTCTTGTCCTCTTCCGACACATCTGGCGCTTCCAACAAGAGCTGATCCAGCACTTGCTTGCACTCTTGCAGTAGCACAGCTACCACTTTTTGATTATTCATGATGATTACGATGAATTGGGTGTCCCTGGGTCTAGGGTGATCAATTACCTAGGAGAAGACATTGATTCTCAATAAAGGAGCCCCTTGAAGGCCGAAGTACCTGGTGAACAAAAGAGAGGGAAAGATGATTAACTGAAGCATCATCAATTATCTGTGAGACTCAAGCAGGGAGGGATAATAGGGCAAACAGAGGAAAATACATGACAGCCCCCGAGGACTTTATTAGAGGAGTGTGTGAAATTACTGCAGGGCCTGGCTAGATGGGCAGCACCTCCGAAGGCCTCAGAGTGCAGAAGCGAGAGGGGCCTGGTACAGACCCCAGTTATCTATCCACAGTGACGTCAGTGGAGTTACATGGGCCAAATGAAATGAATATACTGCATGATTTATCTTCTGCGTACTTCACATCAGTGCCTCTGGAGCTCAGTGGCACCACACTCTCTGCTCTCTAGAAGTCCACAGGAAGCATCTGGCTAGCAGTTCTAATATTAGACACTAGTACACGGTAATAACCCACTGCTGATTTCCCCTGTGCAGTATTCTTCATAATATTTAGCATGATATAATTTGGACCAAGATAGGCAATGACAAATGCCAAATTTAAAGCTCTTCACTGCCAGGAACATTACCAAGTAAAATAGAGAACTGATATCCTAGAAAACCCAATTTCCCAAATCCATCAAACGGATGGATCTGTCATATGGATCTACTTATATTGTCATTTAACGTATATACAATTGAGAGATTTCTTATGCAAATATTAGTGTGATTAATGAGCTACTGCCGTCAAGGTAATTTCAAGAATGAAATAACTTACTAACAGCGCAAAAAAAAATGCCTGACAAATTCATAGAAAAACATTATTCAATTAACAAATCTTTTTGTCTATCTTTCTTTTGTTAAAGTATTATATTGTAAATGAAAGACAGGAAGTTAGACATTGCCAGAATAGATAGTGGAGCTGCTGTCAGGTTTAGACACTCCTGGAGGGCATGTAGAATTTTATTACCAAAAGCAAGAGAGTCTGAAAGGGAAGAAAGTAACAGATATATGGATGGCTCTAGTTATTCTGTCTCTGAGCTTATGCATGCAATGAAGTAACCATTGAAAATATTAAAGCAGTGAATTATTGTGTTGGTGTTGGGATTAAATGTGCTCTACTAGCCAATGGTTTCTTAACTAACTTTAAGAAGTTGGTTTTGAATTTGAAATAGCAAGAAAGCCTTTTTCCCTCTCTCATTTTCTATTCTGTGACTTAGCAGGAGCAGAAAATGAAAGCTGAGCTAACTGTGTAATCTAAATTTTGTGTTTTTCATACTAACTTGGCAGGTATACTTCGTATCTCCATATACTTTGTGTTTAAACACACACACACACACATTACACACATACATTACAGAGCTAGAACTGCCAAGGCAAAGCTTGGGGTTATTACAGGCTTGTTTCATTTAAAATACTAATGTATTTGTTGATGAAGAACACAAGCAGAGTGCTCAAATACAAAATTTGTGTTACTTGAAAGGGCATTCACTTAAGTGAGATACTGAGGAATTAGTCACTAAGAGCAAGTCTAACCGTCGGTGTCTCTGTGCCACTTTTTGGTAATTCTTGGAATGTTTCAAATTTTTCATTATTATTATATCTGTTATGGTGATCTGAGATCAGTGATCTTTGGTGTTATTATTGTAATTATTTTGGGGCACCACAAACTGTCTGGGAGCCAGCAAAGTTAATCCATAAATATTGTGTGTCTTCTGACTGCTCCACTGACCAGTCATTTCTTACTATCTTTTCCTCTCCTCAGGCTTCCCTATTCCCTGAGACACAAAAATATTAAAATTAGGTCACTTAATAACCCTACAGCAGCCTCTATGTGTTCAAGTGAAAGGAAGAGTCACACATCTCACACTTTAAGTCAACAGCTAGTAATGTTAAGCTGAGAGAGAAAGGCATGTTGAAAGTCAAGATAGGCCAAAAGATAGGCCTCTTGTGACAAACAGCCAAGTTGTGAATGCAAAAAAAAAAAAAAATTTCTTGAAGAAAAGGAAAAGTGCTACTCCAGAGAACACACAGGTGGTAAGAAAGTGAAACAGCCTTATTGCTGATATGGAGAAAATTTTAATGGATAGAGAATTAAACCAGCCACAACACTCCCTTAAGCCAAACCCTCATCTAGAGTAAGGCCCCATCTGTCTTCAACTCTATGAAGACTGAGAGAGGTGAGGAAGCTGCAGAAGAAAAGTTGGAAGCTAGAAGAGGTTAGTTCAAGAGTTTTAAGGAAAGAAGCCATCTCCATAACATAAAAGTGCAAGATGAAGCAGCAAGGGCTGATGTAGAAGCTGCAGCAAATTATATAGAAAAGCTAGTTAAGATAATTAATGCCCAGCCTGGGCAACAGAGGGAGACCCCATCTCTACAAAAAATAAAAAAATTAGCTGGGTGTGGTGGTGCACACCTGTGGTCCTAGTTACTCAGGAGGCTGAGGTAGGAGGATTGCTTGAGCCCAGGAGATTGAGGCTGGAGTGAGCTGTGACTGCACCTCTACACTCCGGCTGAGTGACATAGCAAGTCTCTGTCTCAAAAAAAAAAAAAAAAAAGAAAAACATCACTGACAAAGGTGGCTACACTAAACAACAGATTTTCAGTGGTGACAAAACAGCCTTGTAGTGGAAGAAGATACCGTCTAGGACTTTCATATCTAGAGGGGAGGAGTCAATGCCTGGCTTCAAAGCTCCAAAGGACAGGGTGACTCTCTTGTTAGAGGTTAATGCAGCTGGTGGCTTTACTTTGAAGCCAGTATTCATTTACTGTTCTGAAAACCCTAAGACCCTTAAGAATTATACTAAATCTACTCTGCCTGTGCTCTATAAGTGGCACAACTAAGCCTGGTAACAGGATATCTGTTCACAACATGGTTTACTGAATATTTTAAGTGCCCTGTTGAGACCTACCTCCCAGAAAAAAAGGTTTCCTTCAAAATATTACTGCTCATTGACAGTGTACCTGGTCACTCAAGAGCTCTGATTGAGATGTACAAGATTAATGTTGTTCTTATGCCTGCTGATATAACATTCATTCTACAGCCCATGGGTCAAGAAGTAATTTCAACTTTTAAGTCTTAGAAGAAATTCATTTCATAAGGCTATAGCTTATAGTGATCACAGCTTATATCTTTTATAGTAATTTCTTTGATGGATCTGGGCAAAGCAAATTCTTCTAATGGACCTTCTGAAAAGGAATCACCATTCTAGATACCATTAAGAACATTCGTGATTCATGGGAGAGGGGCAAAATATCCACATTAACAGGAACTGAGGAGAAACCGAGTGTAACCCTCATAGATAACTTTGGGGTGTTCAAGACTTCAGTGGTGGAAGTAGCTGCAGATGTGGTGGAAATAGCAAGAGAACTAGAATTAGAAAAGCCTAAGATATGACTGAATTGCTGCAATCTCATGATAAAACTTGAATGAATGGGACGTTGCTCCTTATAGATGGGCAAGGAAGGTGGTTTCTTGAGATGAAATCTACTCCTGGTAAAGATGCTGTGAACATTGTTGAAATGGCAACAAACCATGTAGAATATTATGTAAACTTAGTTGGTAAAGCAGCAGCGGGATTTAAGAGGACCGACTGCAATTTTGAAAGAAGTTCTACCATGGGTGAATGCTATCAGACAGCATCACATGCCACAGAAAAATCTTTAGGAAAAGGATGACTCAATCCATGTAGCAAACTTCATTGTTGTCTTAATTTAAGAAATTGCCACAGCCACTCCAGCCTTCAGCAACGATCACTCTGATCAGTCAGCAACCATCAACATTGAAGCAAGACCCTCTACCAGCAGAAAGATTAGGACTTGCTGAAGGCTCAGATAATCATTAGCATTTTTTAGCAATAAAGCATTTCTTAATTAAGGTGGGTACTTTTTTAGACATAGTATGATTGTACACTTACTAGACTATAGTATGGTGTAAACATAACTTTCATTAATATTATGCACTGGGAAACAAAAACATTCATGTAACTCACCTTTTTTTAATTTTAATTTTTTTTAAGAGATGGGTCTCACTATGTTGTCCAAACCAGACTCAAACTCCTAGGCTCAAGTGATCCTCCCACCTCAACCTCCCAAGTAGGATTACAGGTACGCACCACTGCACCCGGCTTTGTGTGACTCACTTTATTGTGATACTTGCTTCTGTGCAGACGGTTGGAACTGAATCCACAATATCTTTGAGGTACACTTGCACAAATTTAATCTCTTTTCTGTTTGGGATACTTCAAAAAGGTATTTCTGCATGGATTGGGTGTTGAACTAAAAGGTTTCCAATGTCCCTTTTAACTCAAATGTCTATAAGTCACAACGTTTTATGCCACAAGCTGGCTATTAGCCTGCCTACCTAGGAAAAGAACTGAGCAGTAAAGGCTGCTCAGAATTTTATCCTCATACTGCTATTGCAAAGAGTACAGGAGCATATGTTCATTCCTTCTGAGTACCGCAGTGAGCTGATAAAAGAGCTAATTAGTGGGCTACAGTGAACAAGAGGCCCTGAAGCAATGAAGAAATGATATCTCATTCCCATCATTCCTTGACAGAGGGAGACATTGGCTAAAATGGGAGGTTAGCATTGAGATTAAAATATACATTTGGTGGTTTAGAAGATTAAGAACAAACTTTGCTTGGCGTGAGCTGCAGATAAGTTGGAGACTCATTTTTCTTCAAGTCCAAAATTAAAGCAAGAAGGGAGTTCTGTTTCCTAGCATTCTTTTGTAGAACTACATCGAGAAAGAGAGGTGTAATAAAGAAATAGGAAGAGCTCGTGCACAAAGAAATAAAACCACAATATCATATAATTTTAGTAGCACATCATCCTTTTGTCTAAAGGCTTATGTTTTCTTAGTGCTGTATCATTCCCTTAAGGTAGAAAGTGGTCTTTTGTTGAACTCATAGAAGCAGAGAGTAGGGTTGTGGTTACCAGAGACTGCAGGATGGGGGGAATTAGGGAGGGTGTTGGTCAAAGGATACAAAATTTCAGTTAGACAGGAGGAAAAAGTTCAAGAGATCTATGGGATGTCACGGTGATGATAGTTAAAAACAATATATTATATACCTGCAAATTGCTAAGAGAGTAGATTTTAAGTGTTCTCACCACAAATAATGGTATGTGAGATAATGTTAATTAGTTTGATTTAACCATTCTATAATGTATGACCATAAAGATATATAATTTAATCTGTCAATTAAAATAAAATTAAAAAAGAAAGTAGGCCAGGCGTGGTGGCTCACGCCTGTAATCCCAGCACTTTGGGAGGCCAATGCAGGTGGACCATGAAGTCAGGAGATTGAGACCATCCTGGCTACGGAGAAACCCGGTCTTTACTAAAAATACAAAAAATTAGCCGGGTGTGGTGGCTGGCGCCTGTAGTCACAGCTATTGGGAGGCTGAGGCAGGAGAATGGCATGAACCTGGGAGGTGGAGCCTGCAGTGAACCAAGATCACGCCACTGCACTCCAGCCTGAGCGACAGAGCAAGACTCCATCTCAAAAGAAAAAAAAAAAAAAAGGAAGAAAGTAGTTTTCTTTATATTGACAAATTGAAGTAAATTTTAATTACTCAGTTACTGTAAACGACTTAAGTAGAAACAGCATATAGTAATGAAAAGAGGACCCAGAAATAGGAAACGAATGCACACAAGAGTGTTCAACAGATATTTGTTGATTAATTCCACTTTATACTCTATCATTAACTATTTGTAAGACTTCTGAGATTCACTTTTGAGATTGACTTTTCTCATCTGTATTTTTGAAGGAATTGGTTGGAACAATTGTTAAGATGCTTCTAGCTCTTAAATTACATACTCAGCAGCAGTCTAAATAGACCATGTTGTTTATTGCCAAATAATATTTGATATTTGTTTATTAAGAAATTCCCTAGCTCTTTTGAGAACCCTTACATATCGTTTTTATGTATGTATATTTTTGTGTGGTTAGAAATATTGGCTTGAATTTTAGAAGTCGATTACTAAATATACTTATTTGCTTTGGTTTCCTCACTTGCAACACCAATTCCTGATGCACAAGATCATAAATCTCTTCCTTTTGTCTAAGTGATGTGAAAGAGAGATAGGGCATGCAGTTGTATGAAGGCAAACAACAGGACTTGACCTAATCACTTGAGTAAAGCTAGGGCAGATCAAGGGAGGCTTCTTTGAGAATGTGATGCCTGAATTAAGCTTTGAAAGAGTGATAAGGCTTAATGAAGTTAAAATGGTGGGGAATGGCTGTTATGTAGAAGGAACTAGAGAGGGAATGAAAGACAGAGAGGTTGGCTGAACTAGCGATAAAAGGAGAAAGTTGATATGAGGTGGGACTGGAGAGGTAAATACGGGCTGTGCAGGCCTATGTGTGCCTGGTAAAAAATTGTATCTTCACCTTAAGAGTGCTAGGAAACTACTGGTAGCAGGAGGACCAGGGTCAGATGTGCATTTGGAAAAAATCACTCTGTTTTAGCTGTAGTGCGTACGTTAGGGTGGGGGTTTGCCGGGAGGTAACTGCAGGAAGATCAGTTAGGTATAATTGCAAAAATTCACGTGGAAAGTATCAGGACTTTCGACCAGAGCGATAGTATTAGAGATGTAGAAAACTGGACAGAATTGAGAGCTGTCTGGGGAATAAATGCAATATTGGTATTGGATAGATATGAATGTTATTAAGAATGAGTATCAGTTTCTCCTTCACCATAGCTCAAAACTGAGTGGACAATGTTACCATGTTTTGAGACAAGAAGCGTAGAAGAGATCTTCCAGGAAAAGACATAAATGCATCTATTCTGTATTTCTACATATAAAAGTAAGTTAGATAAATCATATCATCCACAATAAGAAACCATATTTTAGCCAAGACAACATTTCTAAAAAGAAGAAGAGATTTCCAAGGTAATTCATGTTTAGTACTTGCAATTCCCCAGAAATGTACTGAAGACATTCTTCATACTTTTTGAAAGTCACAGCATTTTCCCTTTTCTCTGTAGAATTCAGAGGAGACAATAGGAAGAAAATACTGTAACATGAGAAACGCTTTGGAATCCAACCATCTGTCCAGACTTGTATGGCTCATTGTTAGGCATAACAGAGGCTGGAGCCCAGGAACTTTCCTTCAGGCAACAGTCCTGCTGGAAATTTTGGTCAACTTCATTTATAAAGGAATCATTTTCAATCTCAACACATATCAGTTTTTCCTCCCCTGAACTGTGGCATTCTGTGAGCTGTATATTGTTTTTACATTTAAACAATGGGAATTCCCCAGTATGTTTGGTAATCAATGAATTACTTTTTCTCTTTTAACATCCCTCCCCTGTATTTTTTTTTTCCTTAAAAATCAAATAGAAAGGGTCCAGGAAAAGCAATCAGACCATAAAAACAGATAATTCTGGAATAAATACCCAAAAAAGTTAGAGTGATACACTTTAAGGCACATGTGCACACTCACAGCTAAGGGGTCATGTGTTTATACATGCTGTATGTGATTTTGATATACAAATTCTTCAGTTCTATTGGTAACTTAGAATTTAGTTGAGTGGCTTAGTTATGGGATAATTGACAAATCAGCTATTATAAAAAGTAACCAAACCAGTGGATTATTCAAAGCTCCATTTCTTTTAGCATCTGTGTTTGAGTCTTTTTCACTGGACAATTAGTACCCCTATTAGGGAATATGTCAAGGAAAATAAAATGACTCCAGAGATATTCCATTGTCTACTGGTTGCCACTGCTATTATAACCCACTAGCCAACTAGTCAGAATCCCCAAGCTAGAAGATGTGGAGAAAGGTAAAGAAATATGAGCGATGATCTTTACTGTCAAGGAATTTACAATATAATTAGAAGGATAAGATGCAAATATACTAAAAGGTAAACTAGATAAATATACAGGGCATATAATACACAATTGTACTCTGCAAGCTCAATTTAAATTATCTATGTTGGAATTCAATTAACCCTTGGTTAGATTCATAAGCAAGCCCACAGAGCCTATTTAATTCATATGTACATGAATAATTATTATAAAACAAATTTTCTTTTCTTTTTCTTTTTGAGACCGAGTATCACTCTGTCACCCAGGCTGGAGTGGAGTGGTGCAATCTCGGCTCACTGCAACCCTCTGCCTCCTGGGTTCAAGCGATTCTTGTGCCTCAGCCTCTGAGTAGCTGGGATTACAGGCATGCACCACCATGCCCAGCTAATCTAAAACGTCTTTTTAATCTACACTCATTTCTCATATTGTTTCTATAGGAAAAGGTATTCTGGTCTCTAATGTACAACAAGAATACATTTCTCTAATCAGGCACCAAGCAATGACAATCCAGCTGTTCCCACCATTTCACTCTTCTCTGAGCACCCATAGACATAAACTATCACCATATTGCCTCTTGCACTGATTGGCAGTAGAAGTGGGGAAACAAATGGAGAAAGAGGCAGCTGACTGGAGAGTAAGGCAAGTGTGGGGCTCAGAAAGATATTATTGGGTAACAGGCATTTGTCAGCATTTTAAAACTGCATTAAAAGGGAGAAGGCAACTTCTAAGTCACCAAAAACATAAAAAAGTAGACTTCTATTTCTAGCATTGAGGAAGACTATCTAACACTCCCACTGAAAACAATAAAAAATGCTGCAAAAACATTTTAAATCTCTAAAATATGTCAATAAAATGTCAAGAGAGGAAGCAGTACTCAGAAAACAAAAAAAGAAGTAAAGGCTGAAACCTAAAAAGTTACCTGCAATATAGAAGCTAGCCGTTGCCTTGATTGTATTTGCCAAACTGTGAACTTAAAACTGGTTTCACTGTCTTGTAAGGTGAGAGGGGAGAAAATGAAACCAAAGGCCTTAACTGAGGTAGGAATTTAAGTGGAGACTGCACACCCCATGCATAAAACTGAGATCCTAAAAGGTCGCACCTTCAGTATAAGAGTGAGCTAAAAAATAAATCCTCATCCTCTCCCCTCACCTCCCAGGAAAATTGTCTGTGGCAAAACATGCTGCTTGATGGAGGGGAACAAAAATTTTTCCCTTGAGAATTTGAAGCCACAAAGTCCATAACACCTCTAGCTAATGATTAATTTAAAATAAATTATTCAAAATGATTAGGTTAGTAGTGTTCCCAGTCAACTGGTGTGACTAAATATAATCCTTTCTTTAAAAAATTAACCTCAATCCAAGCTTCAAAGAATTCCCACCCATAAAATACTAAGACGCATGAGCTCCTGATCAAATGTCACAAAATACATAAGGCAAAAAGAAATCATGAATGAAAGCAGAAACAACAGATACTAAAATCAGACCCACAAAGACTTTAGATAATGGAGTTAACAGATATAGACTATAAAATATATGTTTAATATGTTTAAGGAACTGAATTAATGTGTTGAAAATATTAATAAACAGCATAAGCTATAGAGAAAGCATAAGCAGATTAAGAATAAGAATTTCTAGAAATAAAAATATAAAAATTAAAAATTAAAAATTCAATGAATGCATAGATTCGATAAAAATATTCACTCTAGGTGGGGATCAGTGGCTCATGCCTGTAATCCCAGTACTTTGGGAGGTGGAGGTGGGTGGATCACTTGAGGTCAGGAGTTCGAGAGCAGCCTGGCCAACATGGCAAGACCCTGTCTCTACTAAAAATACAAAAATTAGCCAGGCGTGGTGGTGCGCGTGGTGGTGCAATGAATTATAGGTGGCCAGCTACTCAGGAGGCTGAGGCAGGAGAATCACTTAAACCTGGGAGCCAGAGGTTGGAGTGAGCCAACATCATGCCACTGCACTCCAGCCTGGGCAACAGAGTGAGACTCCGTCTCCAAAAGAAAAAAAAATAATTAGCTCTAGCTGAAGATAGAATTTTTGAACTGGATAATAAATCAGAATATATCACTTAGAATTCAACAGAAAAAAGGCAGAGAAATAGAATATATGAAGACAGGCTAAAAAACAGGAAATAATTTGTAGAAAAGGTCTAACATATGTCTAATCAGAGTCTTAGATGGGAAGAAGAGGGAGCAGCAGTAGAACCATTTGGAGAGATAATTGTGATTGCAAATTTTTTGAACAGGAGACAGAAATATAGTCATTTTCTGTATCCACGGGAGAATGGTTCTGGGACCCTCCTCAGATACCACTTTCAAAGAATGTTCAAGTCTCTTATATAAAATGGTGTAGTAGTTGCACATTTGCCCCTATATTTTAAATCATCTCTAGATTACTTATGATACCTAATGTAAATAGTTGTTATGCTGTATTTTTAATTTGTATTATTTTTTGATATTTTTTGTATTTTCATTTTTTACATAAAAAAAATCTTTTATCATAATTAAGCGTAAGACAGAAACTAGTAAAAAAATACAGATAAAAAGGAAAACTAAAATTCTCCTTGATCCCAACACTAGAAATAACCAGTTAATATTCTGATGTATAGTCTACTGTTCTTTTTTATAGGCATACACATGTTTTTCAAATTACAGTTGGGATCAACCGTGTATACACTGTTTCATAATCTACCTTTTATTTACTTATTTATTTTATTTCAATAGCATTTTGGGGAACAGGTGGTGTTTGGCTACATGAATAAGTTCTTTAGTGGTGATTTCTGAGATTTAGGTGAACCCCATCACCCGAACACTGTACACTGTACCCAATGTGTAGTCTTTTATTCCTCACCCACCTTCCACCCTTTCCCCTGAGTCCTCAAAGTCCACTGTAGCATTCTTATGCCTTTGTGTGTTCATAGCTTAGCATCCACTTATGAGTGAGAACATACGACGTTTGGTTTTCCATTCCTGAGTTACTTCTCTTAGAATAATGGTCTTTAATTCCATCCAGGTTGCTGCAAGTGCCATTATTTCATTTCTTTTTATGGCTGAGTAGTAGTCCATGGTGTATATATACCACAATTTCTTTACCCACTCATTGATTGATGGGCATTTGGACTGTTTCCATATTTTTGCATTTGTGAATTGTGCTGCTATAAACATGCATGTGCAAGTATCTTTTTCATATAATGACTTCTTTTCCTCTGGGTAGATACCCAGGAGTGGGATTGCTGGATCAAATGGTAGTTCTACTTTTAGTTCTTTAAGGGATCTACACACAATTTTCCATAGTTGTACTAGTTTACATTCCCACCAGCAGTGTAAAATTATTCCCTTTTCACCACATCCATGCCAACATCTATTATTTTTTGATTTTTTGATTATGTCCATTCTTGCAGGAGTAAGGTGGTATCACATAATGGCTAAAATTTGCATTTTCCTGATCATTAATGATGTTAAGCATTTTTTTTCCATATGTTTGTTGGCCATTTGTATATCTTTTTTTGAAAACTGTCTATTCATGTCCTTAGCCCACTTTTTGATGGAATTGTTTGTTTTTTTTTCTTGGTGATTTGTTTATTTGTAGATTCTGGAAATTAGTCCCTTGTTGGATGTACAGATTGAGAAGATTTTCAAGGTTGTCTGTTTACTCTGCTGATTGTTACTTTTGCTGTGCAGAAGCTTTTTAGTTTAATTAATCTCATTTATTTATCTTTGTTTTTGTTGCATTTGATTTTCTTGGGTTCTTGGTCAAGAAGTCTTTGCCTGAGCCAATGTCTAGTAAGATTTTTCCAATGTTATCTTCTATAATTTTTATGGTTTTAGGTCTTAGATTTAAGTCTTTAATCCATCTTGAGTTGATTTTTGTATATATAGACAGATGAGGATCCAGTTCTATTCTTCTACATATGGCTTGCCAATTATCCCAGCACCATTTGTTGAATAGGGTGTCCTTTCCCCACTATATGTTTTTGTTTACTTTGTCGAAGATCAGTTAACTGTAAGTATTTGGCTTTATTTCTGGGTTCTCTATTCTGTTCCATTGGTCTATGTGCCTATTTTTATACCAGTACCATGCTGTTTTGGTGACTATGGCCTTATAGTATAGTTTGAAATCAGGTAATGTGATGCCTCCAGATTCGTTCTTTTTGCTTAGTCTTGCTTTGACTATGCGGTCTCTTTTTTGGTTCCATATGAATTTTAGGATTGTTTTTTCTAGTTCTGTGAAGAATGATGGCAGTATTTTGATGGGAATTGCATTGAATTTATAGACTGCTTTTGGCAGTATGGTCATTTTCACAATACTGATTCTACCAGTCCATGAGCACAGGATGTTTCCATTTGTTTGTGCTGTCTGTGATTTCTTTCAGCAGTGTTTTGTAGTTTTCTTTGCAGATGTCTTTCACCTCCTTGGTTAGGTATATTCCTAAGTATTGTATTTCTTTTGCATCTATTGTAAAAGGGCTTGAGTTCTCAATTTGAATGTCAGCTTGGTCACTATTGGTATATAGTAGGGCTACTGATTTGTGTACATTAATTTTGTACCCTGAAACTGCTGAATTTATTTACCAGTTCTAGAAGCTTTTTGGATGAGTCTTTAGGGTTTTCTATAATAGGTATACAATCATGTCATCAACAGACAGTGACAGTTTGACTTCCTCATTACCAACTTGGATGCCCTTTATTTCTTTCTCTTGGCTGACTGCTCTGGCTAGGACTTCCAGCACTATGTTGAATAGAACTGGTGAAAGTGGGCGTCTTTGTCTTGTTCCAGCTCTCGGGGAATGCTTTCAACTTTTCCACATTCAGTATGATGTTGACTGTCAGTTTGTCATAGACAGCTTTTATTACCTTAAGGTATGGCCTTTCTATACTGATTTTGCTGAGGGTTTCAATCATAAAGTAATACTGGATTTTGTTAAATGCTTTTACTGCATCTATTGAGATGATCATGTGATTTTTGTTTTTAGTTCTGTTTATGTGGTGTATCACATTTATTGACTTGTGTATGTTAAACCATCCCTGCATCCCTGGTATGAAACCCACCTGATCATGGTGGATTATCTTTTTGGTATGCTGTTGGGTTCTGTTAGCTAGTATTTTGTTGAGGATTTTTGCATCTATGTTCATCAGGGAAATTGGTCTGTAGTTTTCTTTTTTTGTGATATCTTTTCCTGGTTTTGGTATTAGGGCAATAGTGGGTTCATAGCATGATTTAGGGAAGATTCCCTCTTTCTCTGTCTTTTGGAATAGTGTTAATAGGACTGGTACCAATTCTTCTTTGCATGTCTGATAGAATTCAGCTGTGAACCCATCTGGTCTTGGACTTTTATTTTTTGGGGTAATTACCATTTCAATCTCACTGCTTGTTATTGGTCTTTTCAGAGTTTCTATTTCTTCCTGGTTTAATCTAGGAGGGTTGTATATTTCTAGGAAATTATCCATCTCCTCTAGGTTTTCTAGTTTATGCATGTAAAGGTATTCATAGTAGCCTTGAATGATCTTTTGTATTTCTGTGGTATCAGTTGTAGTATCTTCCATTTCTTTTCTAATTGAGCTTATTTGGATCTTCTCTCTTCTTTTATTGGTTAACTCACTAATGGTCTAACGGTTTTATTTATTTTCTCAAAGAACCAGCTTTTTGTTTTATTTATTTTTTGTATATAAATATATATATTTAATTTAATTCAGTTCTGCTCTGATCTTTGTTATTTCTTTTCTAATGCTGGGTTTGTGTTTGCTTTGTTCTAGTTTCTCTAGTTCCTTGAGGCGTGACCTTAGATTGCCTATTTGTGCTCTTTCAGGCTTTTTAGTGTAGACATTTAATGCTATGAACTTTCCTCTTAGCACCGCCTTTTCCGTATCCCAGAGGTTTTGATAGGTTGTGTCACTATTATCATTCAGTTCAAAGAATTTTAAAATTTCTATCTTGATTTTACTGTTGACCCAACAATCGATCAGGAGCAGGTTATTTCATTTCCATGTATTTGCATGGTCTTGATGGTTCCTTTTGGAGTTGATTTCCAATTTTATTCCACTGCAGCCTGAGAGAGTACTGGATATAATTTTGATTTTCTTAAATTTGTTGAGACTTGTTTTGTGGCCTATCATATGGCCTATCTTGGAGAAAGTTCCATGCACTGATGAATAGAATGTATATTCTGTGGTTGTTCAGTAGAACAATAACAATGTTCTGTAAATATCTGTGAAGTCCATTTGTTGTATAGTTTAAATCCATTGTTGCCTTGTTGACTTTCTCTCTTGATGACCTGTCTAGTGCTGTCGGTGGAGTACTGAAGTCCCTCACTATTATTGTGTTGCTGTCTATCTCATTTCTTAGGTCTAGTAGTAGTTGTTTGATAAATTTGGGAGCTCCAGTGTTAGATGCATATTTATTTAGGATTGTGATATTTTCCTGTTGGACTAGTCCTTTTATCATTATCCACTATTCCTTTTTCTTTTTTAACTGCTGTTGCTTTAAAGTTTGTTTTGTCTAATACATGAATAGCTATTCCTGCTCACTTTTGGTGTCCATTTGCATGCAATATCTTTTCCACCCCTTTACCTTAAGTTTATGTGAGTCCTTATGTGGTTGGTGAGTTATTATCCATTCTGCTATTCTGTATCTTTTAAGTGGAGCATTTAGGCCGTTTACATCCAACATTAGTATTGAGATGTGAGGTACTATTCTATTCATCATGCTATTTGTTACCTGAATACCTTGGTGTTTTTCCATTATGTTACGGTTTTATAGGTCCTGTGAGATTTAATCTTTAAGGAAATCCTATTTTGATGTATTTCAATGATTTGTTTCAAGATTTAGAGCTCCTTTTAGCAGTTCTTGCAGTGCTGGCTTGGTAGTGGCAAATTCTCTCAGCATTTGTTTGTCTGAAAAAGACTGTATCTTTCCTTCATTTATGAAGCTTAATTTTGCTGGATACAAAATTTTTGGCTGACAACTGTTTTGTTTAAGGAGGCTAAAGATAGGACTCCAATCCCTTCTAGCATGTAGGGTTTCTGCTGAGAAATCTGCTGTTAATCTGATAAGTTTTCCTTAACAGATTACCTGATGCTTTTGCCTCACAGCTCTTAAGATTCTTTCCTTCGTCTTGGCTTTAGATAACCTGATGACTATGTGCCTAGGTGATGATCTTTTCGCAATAAATTTCCCAGGTGTTCTTTGAGCTTCCTGTATGTGAATATCTAGATCTCTAGCAAGGACAGGGAACTTTTTCTTGATTATTCCCTTAAATGTGTTTTCCAAACTTTTAGATTTCTCTTCTTCCTTGAGAATACCAATTATTTGTAGGTTTAGTCCTTTAACATGATCCCAGACTTCTTGGAGTCTCTGTTCATTTTTTTTTAATTCTTTTTTCTTTGTCTGTCAGATTGGTTTAATTTGAAAGCCTTGTGTTTGAGCTCTGAAGCTGTTTCTTCTACTAGTTCAATTCTGTTGCTGAGACTTTGCAGTGCATTTTACATTTCTCTAAGTGTGTCCTTGATTTCCAGAAGTTGTGGTTGTTTTTTATTTATGCTATTTCACTGGAGATTTTTCCATTAATATCTTGTATCATTTTTTTGATTTCCTTAAGCTGGACTTCACCTTTCTCTGGTGGCTCCTTGATTGGCTTAATAATCGACCTTCTGAATTCTTTTTCTGGCAATTCAGAGATTTTGTCTTGGTTTGGATCCATTGCTGGTGAGCTAGTGTGATCTTTTGGGGGTGATAAAAAACCTTGTTTTGTCATATTACCAGAATTGTTTGTCTGGTTCCTTCTCATTTGGTTAGACTATGTCAGAGGGAGGATCTAGGACTCAGATCTGCTGTTCAGGTTCTTTTGTCCCATAGGTGCTCCCTTGATGTGAGGCTCTCCCCCTTCCCCTAGGAATGGGGCTTCCTGAGAGCCAGACTGCAGTGATTGTTATTGCTCTTCTTGATTTAGCCACCCAGCAGAGCTACTGGGCTCCAGGTTGGTACTGGGGAGTGTCTGCACGGAGTCCTGTGATGTGATCCATCTTCAGGCTTCTCAGCCATGGATACCAGCACCTACTCCAGTGGAGGTAGCAGGGGAATGAAGTGGACTCAGTGAGGGTCCTTGCTTGTGTTTTTGTTTAGTGCACCGGTTTTGTGTTCGTTGGCCTCCAGCCAGGAGGTGGCACTTTCAAGAGTGCATCAACTGTGGTTGTATAGGGAGGATACAAGCTTGCCCTAGAGTCAGGCAGTGGGTGGAGCCATACAGCTCTCAAGAGAGTATGTCCTTTGTCTTCCCTACCAGGGAAGGTAGTGAAAGGTCATCAGATGGGGGCAGGGTTAGGCGTGTCTAAGCTCAGACTCTCCTTGGCCCTGGCTTGCTGCAGCTGCTGTGGGGGATGGGGGTCTTGTTCCCAGGCCAATGAAGTTATGCTCCCAGGGGGATTAAGTCTGTCTCTGCTGCATTACACACACAGGTTGCCAGAGAAGTGGGGGAATGCCAGCAGCCACAGGCCTCACCCGGCTTCCTGGCAGCCTACAGCCTTAAATGCCAGTCTCACTTCCACTGTGCCCCTCCCCCCAACAGCACCAGGTTTATTTCCAGGCAGCCAGTGAGCAGGGCTGAGAACTTGTCACAGGTTACAAGCCTCCCAACTGAGAAAGCAAGCTGACTCACAGTTCCTCGGCTGTCCCACAGAGCCTGCAGCAGCAATCCACCTCCTTCAAAGGGTCTGTGGATTGTCTCGGCTTTCCTGGTATGTTCTGTGGTGGTTCTTGGAGTAAAAGTTCACAAATGTGGGTCTCTGCATGCTGTTCTGTCCATCTGAGTGAGAGCTGCAAGTTAGTCCTGCCTCCTATCCACCATTTTCTGCTTATCTCTTTTTTCAAATATTTTCAATCCATGGTTGGTTAAGTCTGTGGATGTGCAATTTGAGAATAGGAAGGGCCAACAGTAACCAAAATATTCAGGATCTCTAAGCAGGATAAATAACAAATAAATATCCATGTAGAAAAATATCATAATGAAGCCATGGAACACCAAAGACATAGAAGATCTTTAAAGCAGCTAGAGAGAAAAGACAAATTACCTTCAAAGAAACAACAAAGGACTTACATACAGTTGGTTACCTAAAAGCAAAAATGTAAACAAGAAGACAGCAAAAGGGTATCTTTCATATGCTGGGGGAGAAAACCTGCAAAATAAAAGTATTTTAAAAGAAACACCAATAGATCCTCACTAAACAAATTTCTAAAGTATGTACTTTAGAGAGAAGAAAGATCACTATCAAGGGCTTGAGCGTCAAGCAGAACTAATCAGCAAAAAACTTGTAGATTATTGGCAAAATCTAAGCAATCATTAATTGTATTTAATATAAAGCTACAACAATAACAATGTATTGAAGAGATTTCTGCACTCCCATATTCATTGCAGCATTATTCACAATAGCCAAGATATGGAACCAACCTAAATTTCCATACACACACAAAAAAACATTGTACTTAATATAAAGCTACAGCAACAACAATGCATAGAAGAGATTTCTGCACTTCCATATTCATGGCCGCATTATTCACAATAGCCACGATATGGAACCAGCCTAAATTTCCATCAAGGATAAATGGACAAAGAAAATGTCATATATATATACACACAATGGAATATTACTCAGCCTTAAAATAGAAGGAAATCCTGTCATCTGCAACAACATGGATGATCCTGGAGGATGTTATGTTAAATGAAATAAGACAGATACAGAAAGACAAATAACATATGATCTCACATATTTGTGAAATCTAAAAATGTTGAATTCATAGAAACATAGAGCAGTATGGGGGTTACTAGAAGATGCAGGGATGGGGTCAGGGCCTGGGGAGAAGTTGGTCAAAGGATACAAAATTTCAGTTAGAGAGGAGCAATGAACTCAAGAGGTCTGTTGTATCTGGTGACTATAGTTAATAACTATAGTTATTGAAAATAATTATATTGTATGCTTGCAAATTGCTAAGAGTAGATTTTAAGTGTTCTCTGGCCTATTCTGTTGGGTGAGTTCTTGGCCCACCAGAGCTGGACAGGCAGGTGATCAAGCCACGCTGGGCATGCTGAGGGCCTCCATGGGCACCCACTGGGGCTCTGGCCAGAAGACCTGCATGATGCTCTGCTTCCTGGAGGCAGTGTGCAGGTTGGGCACGTCCTAGAGGCCCCACTCAGATACTGCATGCCCGTGGGAAAGTCCAGGGGACTGGCTTCGCCCTGCAGCCGCACCATCCTCCCCCAAGGCCCCTGCTGGCCTCTGTCTGAGGAATGATGAGATCTTGCTCTGGGTCTTCCCAGGCTTCTTGCACCATGAGCGGTCTGGTTGGGAAGCCCCGTGGGTGAGCATAGGAGGCGTGGCAAGGCTCTCCTCTTGGGGTCCTGGCGGCTCCATGCCTGGGTTGGGCTGGCTGGCCAGGTCTGTGCATGTCGGCAAGAAGTGCTGCTTGTGGTATGGATGCACGAACATGCTGAACCTCTGCAGCAGGGGGATGTTCTCAGGCTTCGCAGTGGTCAGGGCAGCCAGTAGGGCCAGCACCTTGTCCAGGTCATCATCCTGCTTGTAGGCTGTCAGCACTGCCAAGAGCTGGCTACAGCCTGTAGACTCCAGGGCCCTGCAGGCATCTTCCAGGTAGGCGCTCATGGCATGCTGGCCCTGCTTCCCTGCTCTGGGCGCTCTGGACCCCCACTGTGGGTGGCTGCCAGGGTCTCCTGTGGGGGGTGGCCTGGGGGACAGGTGGGGCCTGCCCTGGTTGAGGTGCTCTCTGGGATCCAGCTGCTGGGCCACAGCCTTGGACAGGGTCAGCTTGGGATCCGGCGCTGTCCTTCCAGTGGGGTCCAGGGCTGGCTGTGTCCGCTGCCTTTGGGGAATGCTGTGCTCTGGCCGATAGCCACAGCCTTGTCCTGTTAGCTGTATACAGACCTCCTCAAACTGCTGCTTGTGGTGGGGCTGCACAAACTGGTAGAAGCCCTGGAGCTGGCTGTGCTTCTTGGGGTTTTCAGCAAAGAGGAGGCCAAGACAGGTCGCCAGGGCAGCAAAGTCATCGGAACCCTTGTGGTCCTGCAGGGCCTGGGTGAAGGTGGCAAAGTTGGCTTGGCTCAGCTCCTACTTCATGGCCACCATGAAGAGCTTGGCCGTGTTCATCTGTGCACCAGCCACGGGCTCCTCCGAGTGGCTGACCAGCTGGATCTTCTTCCTCCTTCCTTGCGGCTCCTCTGCCAGCCTCTTAGATGGGAGAGACAGGGTGGAGCACCTGTGGGCCTGCTCCTCGCCAGGGCCCCCCAGCCCACTGTTCGCTGTGCTCCAGGGCGGCCAGCAGCCCCCAGGGCCTCTGCCAGGCAGGGTCTGGCTCCTGCTCATACTCCATATACAGGCTGCCCTCCGGGTCCCCAGCAGCTGGTGACCCTGAGGGCCTCTGCTTCAGGCTAAGGACGTGCAGGTCGAGACTCTTAGCTTTCCTGGTGGAGAGGAGGGGGCCAGTTGACTTAGTCACCCTGACAGCATCTTCTGCCTCACGCAAACTGGGTGCTACAGCCCAGGGGGCCGGTGCTGGCATAGTTCGCTCAGCAACACGGAAGAACTGGGCTACGTCTTGGATGACATGGCCGAAGTTGTACACCCTGACGTAGGGACGCACCCAGGAGGGCAGCTGGGCTCTGGCGTCTGCAAAGGCAACCCTGTGGTCACAGAGGAAGACAGCCCTGTTGTCCTGGCAGTGCCAGATCACTTGCCCGATGGCCTGGTTCACAGCCCTGGACGCCTGCCCAGAGAGGAACTGGCCCCCAGCCCCAACCTGGCCCTTCATCTCGCATCTTAAGGACAACCAGGGGGTCCATGCGTGGGGGCTATGGAGGCCCGTGATGATCACACTACTGCCATTAGTGTCTGAGAAGTCCAGCCCCTCGCTAGTGTTTCCCCGGCATACCGCCAGGAAGGTGGCGCCGGTAGACCCCGGGGGAGGCAATCCTTGCTTAGTAAGCACCCATGGTCTCAGAGAAGCTGCCTTTGCTCCTGGGCTCCACAAACAGCGGCCTCAGCGCCTCCATCTTCCTAGCCAAGTAGTGGGCCTGCCAGAACTCCAGGCTCTTTTCCATGATGGGATATGAAGGGAAGAAGATCAGGAGCCCATAGGGCACCATGCGGGCGATGTTGCCCAGAGCCTTCCCCAAAGAGGACAAGCACTCCTTGGAAAACCGTCTGTCAAACGCGGAGCTCAACTGGGCTCCGTCGGGGCCTCTGGGGATGATCCCCACCCAGATCTGGTGCTTGTCGATGATGTGTGGGTTCTCCAGGCAGACTGGGAAAGGGATCTGCAACTCCAGGGCAAAGGAGGACCCGGGGGCCAGTGTGCCACTGGTGAGGATGATAAAGCAGATGCCCTGACAGACCAGCTTGCGCATGCTGTGGCCAGGACTGAAGCACCAGTAGCTCAGCACCTTCCCTCGCTTTCTGCTGCAGTGGTGCTCCAGGCATCAGATGGCTGAACCACCCTCTGGTGACTGGCATCAGGATGGATGTGCACTTTATAGGCCCCCAGCCCTGCCAGGGAACCAGGGCCATTCTCGGAGGGGTCTACACTGAACACAATCTGGACAATATCCGCCAGCTTCTGCAGTCCGGCTGTGTTGGCGAACACCCCAGCACGTCCTGCCAGATGCTGGATGATCTGGTCCAGTGAGTCCAGGATGCAGCCCTTGGTCTGAAACGTGCTCTGGGCTTCAGCAAACAGCTCAAAGATGTAGCTCCCTGGCTTGGTGACACCGCTGTCATCTCCAGGCAGCTCAACAGCATCGATGGCCCCTTCCAGGCAGAGCAGGATCATCTTCAGCTTTGCAATGTCTTCCAGCTCCATGTTCAGCCCTGAGCTGGTGGGGTCCGCGCTGAACTCCGGTTGGGGCTGGCCCTGCTGTGCCACCTTGATCTGCTCCTCCAGCACCTGGTCTATGACGTCCAGTCCCGAACTCGGGTCATGGGGGGTCAGGTCAAAGGATGCCAATCCTTCACACGTCTTCTTCACCTTGTGAGTTTCATCAAAGATCACGACCGTCCCCTTAAGGTCAATGTTGTGTGCTCTGCGGCTCTTGGCATCCAACAACTAACTGTATGGGATGAAGACGATGTCGGCTTGCTGCTTCAGGTTCCGGGACAGGTAATAAGGGCATACTCCGTGCTTGCTTCCCCTCTTGACCAAGTCCTCGATGTCCAGGATGGGGCTGGCCAGCTCCTGCTCCAGGCTTTTCTCTTCTACATTGTTGTAGAAATGACAGAGCGACTTGCCATCTTCTTGCGGCACAAGTGGATCTTCATGTGGTTACTCTCCTGCTTCTTCACCTCAGGGTGGATGCACAGCTGCTCCCGGGAGCCCAGCACACACACCTCAGGCCGGTAGGAGGTGTTCTGAATTTTGTTGATGACCTGTGTGAGTTGCGAGTGGGTCCTAAAGGCGTAAATGATCTTTGGGATGTCCGTGTAGCAAGCTAAGGGGTCTCCATTATCAGCAGCAGCATTGCCCCAGGATGACAAAGGCCTGATCTGAGAGAAGCTCCCCTTGCACCCTATCGGCAAAATTGCAGGCAAAGATGGTGTCTTGGAGGTGTTCTCGCCAGGCCAGGGTGGTGCACAGGAGGCACAGCGTCTTGCCTGTGCCCGCGGGGCTCTCCAGGATGCCATTCATCTGCAGACATTCCAGGACCTTGGTCATGTACTCCTGTTGGCATTTGTAGGGCTGGGAAGGGAAGTCTACGGTCACACCATTCAGGACTATCTTGGGCATATCAGCCTGTTCTCAGGAGGGCACAGAGGGTGGCTGAGGGGCAGGCTATTCGGGTCTGTGAGAAAAAAACACTCCAAACATCTCAGGCTCTCAGCCGCTCTTGGTAAGTGATGCGAGCATGCACACTGGGACACAACGCTGTTCTCTTCTAGAATCCCTATGGCACAGGCTCCTCTCTTGTCTCCCCGGCCAGCCTTCCAGAACCGGGGGACCTCAGGACCTCAACCGACTCCAGTCGAGCGCTGCCACCGGGTCCCCCTTTGTCAGGCAGTTCAGACTTCGCGGACTGAGGCGCGCAGTTGCGGTTGAGCGCGGTGCACTTCCGCCCCCACTTCCAGTCTGCTGCTTTGTGCTCCAGGAGGAAACTGTTACCCCACGGATGGGGTCCGCCTGCTCTTTGGGCCCTAGAGGTCTATGCAGCCCTTTGAGCGTTCTGTGTCCAGCTTCCCTGCCCAGTGAACCTCACTTCCATCGCCCACAGGCAGAAATCTGGGGTCCCGCCCGTCTCCTCCTTTGATGTCATCCCCGACCAGGGTCTCCGTTCCATTGCCACCTCCCTAGGCCCAGCCACCATCATTTCCTGGATAGCTGCATGGGCCTCCTCCCCAGAGGCATCCTTCTACTGCCCGAGTGTGAGCCGACCGCTTTCCTGAAAATTTGAGAACGGCTGCCCCTTGCCCAGAACCTGGATCCTGATAGCCCTGACCTCCTCCTTCTTCCTCTCCCGCTCGGTCCAGCTTCTGCTCGTGTCGCTGTCTCCCCCACTGGCCCGGGTGGGCCTCCCTGAGTCCCCAGCATCCAGCACTGGTTGACAGCAAGGCAGACTTGAAACATATAATTTTACTAACAAAATTTTACAAATCGTTCAACAACCCAATAAATCTAACCTTAGGCAAAATATCTTAAATTTGCAACAAATGCTTAGAAAATGAAATTTAATAAAAATACACCATTTACAATGGTACAAAATATGTAAGGTATAAAAATAATATACATGAAGTATCTGAGAATAATTCTAACATGTGCACAAGACTTTCAGAGAAAAAACTGTAACATTTACCTCATGGGAAGACATGAGGAGATACTCTGTTTGTGGTCTGGAAAACTCAACATTCAAATTAGTCTGTAACTTTAATGCAACTCCAGTCAAAATCTCAACAGTTCTGTTTGTGTCTGTGTGTCTTTGTGTGTAACCTAAAAAGGTGATTTTAAAATTTGTAGGGAAAAACAGTTCAAGAATAATAAAGACATTCCTGATGAAAAATAATGAGGAGAGCACAGTGTTATACCAAATGTCAATAATTAATAAATTAGTATATAATTAAATGATGCAAAAATTATTGTCACTTAGAAAAATTGATCTTACAGTCCAGGCATGGTGACTCATGCCTGTAATCCCAGCACTTTGGGAGGCGGAAGTGGGTGGATCACTTGAGGCCAGGAGTTCGAGACCAGCCTGGACAACATGGTGAAACCCCATCTCTACTAAAAACACAAAAATTAGGTGGGTATGGTGGCTCATGCTTGTAATCCTAGCTACTTGGGAGGCTGAGGCTCGAGATTCACTTGAACCTGGGAGGCGGAGGCTGCAGTGAGCCAAGATTATGCCATTACACTCCAGCCCCTGGCTGATAGAGTAAGACTGTGTCTGAAAACAAAAAACAAAAACAAAAACAAAACAAAAAACAGTAAAAGAAAAATTGACCTTACATATATACGGGAACTTGATTTATTATAGAGCTCAGTATATGGCATTGAGCTAACTGGTTATTTATTTTAAATCAATGTTAGTTAAAAACTTAAATGTGAAAGACAAAACTACACAGTGTGTAAAAGAGAATATCTAACGGAGAATACCTTTCATTAGGAAATAAATTTTTAATTGCTTGAAAAAAAACAAGCAAATCGTAAGGGAAAATATTGTAATTAAGGATAAACTTCTGATTAGTAAAATGACACCATAAAAAAAGTGGAAAGAAAAATCACAAACTGGGAGACAGTATTTGTAGCTTTGGTAGCTGACAAAAGATTTCTACCCTGAATATATAAAGAATTTCTGTAAATCAATGAGAAAAAGACCAACCACATAGTAGGAAAAGAATAGACAAAAGACTTGAACAGACACTTCACAGGAGAAGAAATGTGAATGGCTAATAAACATATGAAAAGTGTCTGACCTCATTAGTAATCAGGAAATACAAGTTCAAACCACAATGGGAAACCCTGCACAACTTATTTATTTATTTATTTATTTATTTATTTATTTGAGACAGAGTCTCACTCTGTAGCTCAGGTTGGAGTGCAGTGGTGCAATCTCGGCTCACTGAAACCTTCACCTCCTAGGTTCAAGCAATTCTCCTGCTTCAGCTTCCCAAGTAGCTGGGATTACAGGCCTGCACTGCCACACCTGGCTAAGTTTTTGTGTTTTTAGTAGAGACAGGGTTTTGCCATGTTGGCTGGGCTGGTCTTGAACTCCTGACCTTAGGTGATCCACCTGCCTCGGCCTCCCAAAGTGCTGAGATTACAGGTGTAAGCTACCATGCCCGGCCCCTTTGCAACTTCTTGATTGAAAAAAAAGTAAATGGATAATAACAATCATCAAGAACAGTCAGTGTTAGTTACTCCAAGTCACCATTATTGGAACCTACAGTTTGGCATTATCCAGTAAAATCAAAGATGCACACTCACTGACCCAGTGTCCACTCTTAAGTATATACTCTAATTTAGAGAAATTCTTGTATCTGTGTCTAGGGGCTATGTATAAGAATCTTTATAGTGACACAGTTTGTAATAGCAAACAAACAAAAGGAAACAAACCATATGTCCTTCATGGGGAGAGTGGATTAGAAAAGTGAAGTATGGCCAGGTTCGGTGATCACACCTGTAATCCCAGCACTTTGGGAGGCTGAGGCAGGCAGATCACTTGAGCCCAGGAGTTCAAGATCAGCCTGAATAACATGGAAAAATTCCATCTTTACAAAAGATACAAAAATTAACCAGGTGTGGTGGCACACACCTGTGGTCCCAGCTACTCAGGAGGCTGAGGTAGGAGGATGTCTTGAGCCTGGGAGGCAGAGGTTGCAATGAGCTGAGATTGCACCACTGCAGTCCAGTTCAGCCTGGGTGACAGAATGAGACCCTATCTCAAAAAAAAAAAAAAAAAGGAAAGGAAAGGAAAGGAAGAAGAAAAAGAGAGAAGACAGAAAGAGAGAGAAAGAAAGGAAGAAAGAAAGAGAAAGAAAGGAAGGAAGGAAGGAAATTGAAGTACATTCATACATTGGGAAAAAATAAACAAATGAATAACTTATGGTTACATATAACAACATGGGTAAATCTTAGAAATATAAAAAGCAGTCACAGAGGAATCCATGGGTAAAATTTACAAACATTATAACCAAACAATATATTGTTACAGGATACAAATATACAGTTGGCCTTTTGTATCTGTGCATTTCACATTTATGAATTCAACCACCTGTGGATCAAAATATTTAGAAAAACAAAAATAATACAACTAAAAAACCAATTCAATATAACAACTATTTACATAGCATTTACATTGTATTAGGTATTACAAGTAACCTAGAGATTATTTAAAGTTATGGGTAAGAATATGTGTAGGTTATATACAAATATTATGCCATTTTCTATAATATCAGAGACTTGAGCATCCAAGAATTTTGGTATCCTGGAGATCCTGGAACCAATCTCCCATGGATACCAAAGGATGACTGTATATAGTAAAATTACAAAGAAAAGTAATGATTAACTAAAACTCAGAATTGTGGATTTTTTGAGGGGAGCAGGAAGAAGATGTAAAGGAAGCACATGGAGGAGACTTCAAAGCAAGTGGTATGTTTTTCTATTTAAATCTATGGCTTGGTCTTTGGGTATTCATCATGTTCCATGTATATCACATCTATTTTATAAATTCTCGATAGTTGTTCCGCATTTGATGAAAATATTAAAAAGAATAAAATGAAAACCCAAGCCTGGAAGTATTGGGTTGGTAATGAATATCATTTACTGCTTTTAGGGTTGGAACCAGGGACTCCATTGAGAGGTGGTAAAAGATACATCCTTTCAGAGCAGGGAGAGGCACTTGCACAGGTAATTCTAGAGGGAATAGGATTTGGAATTGCTGGATGGACAAGTGAGTAAAAGAATTCTAGTTGGAGAATGACATGAACAAAGACTGTGAGGAGGAGATCCTCATTTTATGTTGGGGATCCATGGTAAACATAGTCTATTGAGATAATTGATTATATATAAGCAGTTTGAACTATTAGTTTGAGAAACACTAGATTGCCAGGAAATTCAACTTATCTTTTCATTCTATTTACATAGAAAATGAAATAAAAGACTGGGCACAGCGGCTCACATCTGTAATCCCAACAGTTTGGGAGGTTGAGGCGGGCAGATCACCTGAGGTCAGAAGTTCGAGACCAGCCTGGCCAACATGGCAAATCCCCATCTCTACTAAAAACACAAAAATTAGCTGGGCATGGTGGCGCGTGCTTGTAATCTCAGTTACTCGGGAGGCTGAAGCATTAGAATTGCTTGGACCCGGGAGGCAGAGGCTGCAGTGAGCCGAGATCGTGCCACTGCACTCCAGCCTGGGTGACAGAGCAAGACTCTATAAAAAAAAAATGAAAAAAAAGAAGTGTCTGATTTTTTTTTTAAAGCAAAGTATATTTTAGGAAATTCTGTAAGTGAAAATGAAGGTCTTTGCTATGTCACTTTCATATCAACACTTACAGTCTGAGGACAACACCTTATTAAAATGGGAAATTAGATGCCAAAGCTGTCCCTTCCCTCTATCTCTCTTGCCTTTGTGTCCCACCCTCCTCTGTCCAGTTCACTGCAGCTGCACGTGTTTACCAAACTTGACTTCTCAAGGAAGTGCAATGAGAGTGTTCCGGGTCATGAATGGGTTACCTCCCGGCCTGAAGAAGAAAAAATAGGAAAAAGAAAAGGCCATCACTGCAGAGGCTGCCGCTCATACTCTCCAGCTACAGTTACCCACTCCATCAGCCATGGTGACATCTGACGAACTATTAGCCTGGCCCACATAGCTGGAAGAGCGACATCTCAGGTCAAGGTGAGTCAAGCCTGCCATCTGGTCCTGGCTCCAGGCTCCTGCACTGATGACTTCAAAATGGTACTTCCAGGAAAGTTTTCTTGGCATTTCTGCACCCCAAATGAGAGAACGCTCACATAGACTCACCCCATATGTCCCCAAATCCAGAACTATCATGATACTAGGAGGCAGTCATAAAGTAGGGGAAAATATTTCATAAACTTTAAAGAGCCTTCAACTTGAGATGTATTCTCTGAGAGGCAGATAGTGTCCACCTATATTCTAGGTAAAGAATTTGAGCCATGGAGGTGAAGAGGCAGGAGTAAGCTGAATGACTTCCAAAAGCTATGACAGAGAAGATCAGGATAAGAGTGCAGAGTCCTGACTTGTCCTGAAAACGCATGATCACTTTGCTTTCCACTAAATGGTACCAGAGGTCTGGAGAAAAACTCAGCAAGAGTAATTTTGGTGGAAGAGAAATAGTTTATCTTCAGAAGAAGAAATGGAGTAGTCTTGACCATTTAGTCTGTGCTACAGTGGGTGAGGCAACGGAAATGCGCTGTTTATACCAACGGAGTCAGAATGTCAAAACTGCTGCATCTCTCCAGGGATGGAGTAGGAGGAGGGAGGGTCCCGATGTTGGTGTGATACGTACATGAAAACAGCATGAAGCATATTGTAATATAAAATTGTCAGGGCTGTGAAGCATTGCATTATTTTGATGAGGCCAGGAAATGTGCGGATTAAGGATCGTTTTGCAACAGAGTATTTTAAAATCTGTATTTATAATTTTCACAGCCAGGAAAGTTAATTTATTTTGCATAGAACTATGTAGCTTTGAAGTTAGAGATAGCCCACAAAGGAGCAATCTGTCTTGGAGTAATGGGATGTGGGGGCTCTGAAATAACAGGAGCAGAAAAATGAAGATGTTGAAATGAAGAATTGTGGTTTCACTGTCTTGATTATCAATAAACAGCCAAGTTAAGCACATGCACTTTGCAGTGAGGCTTCCTAGATTTAAATTTCTGCTACTTACTAGCTGAGTAGCTTTAGGCAAATCATGTCTCAGTTTTCTCATAGGTCTGGGCTACTAGGACACTGTAATAGTGAATTTCTTCTGGAGCCTAAAATACCATGCTTAGATACTTGAGAATTTCTGCTCACAAAAAAAGCTTAAGAGTTTTTTTAAAAAATTAAAATGTAGGCCGGGCGTGGTGGCTCGTGCCTGTAATCCCAGCACTTTGGGAGGCCGAGGCAGGTGGATCACAAGGTCAGGAAATCAAGACCATCCTGGCTAACACGGTGAAACCTGTCTCTACTAAAAATACAAACTATTAGCCAGGCGTGGTGGTACACGCCTGTAGTCCCAGCTACTCGGGAGACTGAGGCAGGAGAATCGCTTGAACCTGGGAGACGGAAGTTGCAGTGAGCCAAGATTGCACCACTGCACTCTAGCCTGGGTGACAGGACAAAACTCTGTCTCAAAAATAAAGCGGGGGGGGGCAGGGGTTGGGGCGGTAATAATAGGATCAATCTCACAGTTTTATAAGCATCAACTGAATTAACATATGTAAAACACAAAAAAAATTGCCTAGCACATAGTGAGTGCTTCATAGGTATCAATTATTGCTATCAATAAAGTTTTCAAGAAATTAAATTTTATTTTTTAAGAGGTTATCCAATCTCTCCTAGTTTACTCTGGATTTGGTTTCCTTGTTGGCTTCATTACCATTTAGGTTTTTGAGAAATAAAATTGCTTGACTATGCAAAGTCTTCAGGTTCCTGATATTTTTCCAGTATAAAGTCACGTAATAATAAGTTGATGCAAAAGTAATTGCAGTTTTTGCCACTGGGATTATCTCCTAGATAATTATCTGGATCCATATTCAATTAATGAATAGAAATTCTGTTCAATAATTGAAATGTTATGACCACTTATTAGACTTTTTCAGGGAAAAAGATGTGAATTTCATTTGCTTAAAACAAGACAAAAAAAAAACAAAAACTGCATCCAGCCAACTTGGTTTAATCAGCTGTTTGCCTCCAGGCACTCAGCCTGCCTCTGTCTGAGGTGTCAGAGAAGTGCGCCCTGAAGTGGCTGACAGGAAAGAAGAGCCTCCATCGGATTACAGATCAGACAGAAACACCCACAGCCCCTCATCTTCTCCTTTGCTCCGAGACACACACAAAGCTCTTTATTTATTTTATACTTAAAATGTCAAAGGCGCCTAGGGGTGGGCCTCTGGCCTGGGGATTGGCAGACCACACTCCTGGGCTGACATAATGAAAGTCCACCATGTGGCTGTGTGATTCACACAGCGTGTTCATGTCACCAGCAGCCGATGGGTCTTGGCAGGGAGCCTCCTACTGGCTTGGAAACAAATAGGACTTGCATGTCCTCAAGTGGCAGGGAGATGGTAACGGAGAACCGCCTGGATGTCCGCACACTTTGCAGGCGCAAAGACAGCAAACACCCACATGCCAAGCTATTCACAGAGTGACAACTAAGTACAGGCCAGCAGCAAGGGACTCTGTAAGACAAGCAGTCGACAGTAGGATTCTACTAGTCCTGCCTGATCTTAAGGAGAACAAACTCAAAATGTGTCTGCAAAGAAAAGATAGCACATTTCATTTTTTGTTGACTTACCTCTCGACACCGCGCCTAAGCACCTCATGGCTTGTGCAAAGCACAGAGGCCTTGGTGTAGCTAGCCTTCAGAGACCAACAGACTTGTTTAGAAAACCAGGCCTTCTTCTATTCACTCTATAACTTGCAGTTTTAATGCCCTTAAACTTAAAACTGAAATTCTGAATTTGAGAATCAAGAACTAGATTTCACCAGGCTGATTTGGAAAATGAGCACAGTTTTAGACTTTCAGGATTCTACACTTTCTGTAAGAGTTATGTGACTGAGTGAAATGCGGCTAAGTTGCAGAGCAAATGTGCTCAGAACGCCAATCACCTGGCTTAGGGGATGATTATTGTTTTTGAACCACTCTGCTTACTTTCTTTGGTACCTCTTCAAGCGGAAGAACTCTCATTTTCTCCTTTCTCTAATAAGGAGGATGGCGATCTGAGACTTAGTGTTAATTCTATTCTTTGCTTTTAGCTAATGAAGGAATATTTGCCAGTATAGAGCTAACAGTGTGATACAGGAAATTTTTAAAAAATAAGTAAATCGAAATAGGCAAGTGAAACATATTAGCTTTTACACAGTCTATTACTGGCAAAAAATAATTGCTTGCTTCCTGCTCTTTCCTTAAAGCTTGGCTTTCATAGCTAACTTAGAAGTTTAATGCATCAAATAAGATGCACTGTATCTGTAAACTTCTCAATGGTATTTAAGCATTTACTGAATATCTGTTGTATACATATTTGGTATTTGGAAGGTTACCAGAGAAACAGAAGAGATATTTTCAACCCACAGAAACAACTTCATTCGAGAAGTAAACATAATTATATAATTCAACTTGTAAAAAATTCCAAAGCAACATTCTGACCCACAGGATGAGTTTACTTAAATTTAGGAAAGTTGGAGAATTCATTCCATCCTTCCTACTATTATACTACTTAGAAGAAAAGGTATTTATTATTAGATCTTGACAAAGAAAATTGAATCGGGTTGATGATATGACTTTTATAAGATTACAGTGAGGAAGGTAGCAAGGAATATGGTTCCCATTTGAAGATTAAGTCAAAAGTTCAGTGATTTGTCAAAGTTCAAATAGCAACTCATTAAGATTACGTGCCAGAAGTTAGACATAAGCTTTTAAGGCCACTGTGGTTTTATGTGAGACCACTCTGTGTCCTGCTTTTTGTGGGGAAGAAACTGATCATCATACTGACAAGCAGAAATCATTAGTTTAACAGAATGTTGATTCTATGACAGAAAAGTATATGTAGTTTATTTAAAGACACGACTCTTAGGCTTGATTCTCAAATTTTAAAACACTGAAACAGCTACTGCTATATTTTTCCTGGGGAAAAAGTATCCTAATTTGACCTTATTCGAGCTACAATATAAGTCCAGAGGACCAATGAAGGGGAAGAAAAGAACTGATGAGGTCTAAGTGGTGATTGCATTTATAGATTAATCCTGACAGGAAGCAAATACATCTCCTCCCAGGAGGCCCCAGTGTAGTCAACTGAGAAGTGGGGTCGTTATTTATGAGCACAGTGGACTCTTCCCATTACAATAAACATTTTAATTACTTTAAGTGAAAGATTATTTTTGCTGGTAGGAAGCTTAAAAAGTAAATACTGTACTGTTGTTTGTTTTTCGATGTTGGCTATGTGTGTAATCTTCTATTCTTAAAACTGTTTCACACAGCAATTTGTCTTACCCTGAAATCATAATGGGAAAATAGTATATACTTAAGAAAGCATTTCACATACCAAAACCTGCAATGCCCCACATGGGGAAAGAGTAGGCCAAATGACTGGTTGGCATCATGGACCCAGAGCAATTTCATTTCCATCTGTTTTATATGATGGCCATCCACATACAATTTCATTGACACCAATAAGTTTGGAAAACACTTATCCAAATGAATCAATGAAGATGGAGTAGGAACATAATGATGGTGTGATTTTTATTTTTCAACAAGGTGACACATTCTCATTCTAAAAGTTACTACCACATATCACAAAACGTGTCAACCATATAAATCCACAATGAATGTCGTTAAGAGTCCTCATGAAACTGTTGTGTTATGGAAGCAAAACAACTAATTTGTAATATGAGACTCAAATAATGAATTTCCTTTCTTAAAACTCAAAGTCCCATGATTTCTGACTGATAATATATGATATAATAAATGATATTAAAGAATTAGTGTTAATTTTTAAGGTGGGATAAAAGTAGTGTGGTTATATTTAAAAAGAGTTCATATCAGCTGGACGTGGTGGCTCACACCTGTAATCCCAGCACTTTGGGAAGCCCAGGTGGGCAGATCACCTGAGGTTGGGAGTTCGAGACCAGCCTGATCAACATGGAGAAACCCCATCTCTACTAAAAATACAAAATTAGCCTGGCATGGCAGCGCACGCCTGTAATCCCAGGTACTCAGGAGGCTGAGACAGGAGAATTGCTTGAACCCGGGAGACAAAGGTTGCAGTGAGCCGAGATTGCACCATTGCACTCCAGCCTGGGCAACAAGAGTGAAACTCCAAGAGTTCATATCGTTTAGGGATACATTCTGAAATACTTAGAAATGAAATTATATGGAGTCTGAGATTTGTTTCAAAAGAATTTGAGGCATGGAGCTGGGGAGAAATTAAAGATGTAAATTAGTCAAGGTTGGCTATGGACTATTAAATGTTGAAGCTACATAAGAGTACATGAAGTTTTTACATTGCTCCCTCTACTTTTGTAACAACATATTCGAAATTTTTAATAATAAAAAATTTAAAAATTCTCTTTTGAGGACCCCAACAAAAAGGAATGGTCTTGATGAATTTTGAGAGGCAGCAAGAGACCGTTCTGAAATTATTTGAAATCTCCTCTTCCCTGGTTTAGATAACCAACAAAATTGGGCTTCGGCCTCCCTAATATGACCACTACTCTGCAAAATGAAGCTACTGCTTTATCCAATTCTGTAATTAAGTCCAGATTATGCATATTTGGAGTATCTGCTTACTGTGTTGCCAACAACACATTGTATTTTTAATCAGGGCCCCATTCCACCCACATCCACATCATGTAATGCTTCTAGGTTACTGTGCCTCATTGTCCTGTTAGTATGTACTTAGAAATCACAGCTGAACTTTAATATTATCTTAAGCAAAATACAAACAAAAAGTTAAATGTGGTGCAAAAATAATCATACCATATACTTCAAAGCCATTAGTATGGGTAAATGAGCACTGTCTATAAAAACACGAGAAGCACGCCCCCTATTAACACTGTCTTGGGAAATCAGAGGCTACAACTCTGAATGAGCATGGCAGCCATGCCTACTTTTACCGAAACCAACACACTTCTATTATTCTACTTTCTACAGAATTAAAAAATTAAACAGCTGACAACAAAAATTCTAAACAGTGGGAAAGAAAATCTCCAACTTCATTGATCTTTAAACATTTTTTAAATACGAAAAAGTAGTCTGGTGAGTTGAATGCTTAGAGGTTTTGAACCAAATTAACTAACATTTTAAATCTGTAATTTGCTGTCACAGGTACCACCAAAAGACAAGGTGGAGAGGGAAAATTGCTATTGGTTAAATACTTTCTGTACTTTAGGTGCTATGCTGTGCACCTCAGACACAAAACTTTGTGATATTGGCTTTATGATCCCCACTTTAGAGATGAGAAAGTTGAGGGTCATGGAGGTTAAGTAACTTTCCCAAGGTCACATACTAAACAAGGTGTGTATTCAGAATTTCCAGGAGTCTTTGACCCCATGAATGCTTTTAAAACCATTTGCCTTCCAGCCTACTTACACAGTCCTGAATATTTCAAAATGTATCAATACATTGAAAGATGTAACCCAAGTCCTTTTTAATGCTCTTAGACTTCCAATAAGATAATTCTATGAATTATTTTCTATGTATATATCACATATGTCTTCTTCCAATTTACTGATGAATCAATTTCTACCTAGCCTGATCCAAATTATCAAACTCCATACTTTAACTATACTAGAAAGAGACAGACAAAAAGTCAGAAGTCTAATTCAACTGTTCAGTCCCACTATTTTCACATTGGAAAGATCATTGCTTACAACTGAGCTCTCCCTAGACTTCCACTCGCAGCAGTTCAGGCTGGAACGTGCTCTCCTGTCACACTGTCTTCTCCAAGTGCGAGGGAGTTTTGTCTAGTAAGAGATAATTAAAGACATGGCAGTGCCACTTGCTAGGATTTCACTCTTTCTCTTTTACTTCTTATAAAAGAAGAAACTTCAGTTTAAAGATTAGATTTTTTCCCCGCTTTTCTAAAGCTGGGTATACCAACTGGCATCGGCTGTATTAAAATCAGGAGAAACCTCAATCAAAAAGCCTCTCTCGGAAGGCAGGCTTTCTTGTTAATATGCACCAACATGAAAGGCTTTCTTTTCATCCTATACAACTACAGTGTGTGTAAATTGCAGGGGGCTCATTGGCATAAATCTCGCCTGCGACCTCTGAGGTAAACTGGATTTACATTACTTTCTGACAAGAATTAAATGAAGGCCTTGTGGATATATGAACAGCCTTCTAGGCTGCAACAGATGGGCATGAATGTGCTCCCTAGGAAAACTATCAGTGACATCTGTGTCCTCCAAATTCTGGTGGTCTCAGCCAATTAACGGGGGTAGGGGGGAGAAGGGGGGGAAAGGGTGGGGGTTGGGAGGCCACAGCACAACCCCCAGCCAAAACCCAGGCAGAAGTGTTTGTGTTTGGAGATGGGATCAGGCTGGCCTGCAGCAGCGAGGTTAGCACTTTATTGTTATCATTCAAATGGAGAATGTGGCTTACAAGCTATTTGTATACCACAGCGAGGATAATATGATTTTTCTCATTTGACCGGAGGAGATGGCCCTCTCTTGCAGCTGATATCATATTTCAGTGCATTCTCTTTGAGACGGGTATTTACTTTTGTCTCTTCCGAGGCAGGCTGAGGGTGTTGCTGTCTGCCAGTTTCTGTAGTGCATTCACTAGTCACAAAGCAGGTGAACTCTAAGACGACACAGAGATCTTTCCCCAAAACACTCTCCTTCATAGTCTACTTCTTTCTTTCTTCAAAATGGCATTTACTGATTTCACCAAAAATTAAAAAATAATCAAAATCAAGGTTTTCTAGTTAAAACGAAGTCAAGAGAAATGACATCAGATATCTTGAATGAAGTGGTGGAGGAGTCCTTCAAAGGATACGATGAACCGTGAACCCCACTGTCTGAATTTACCAGGTCTCAGCACGTCAGTCCCTGTGTGTTTAATGTGCAGGCAGGAGGAAAACTGGAGAAGCCAGGACAGAAGATAAGATTCCTCTCTGGCCCCTCTCCTTTGCTGCAATCTCTTGGCCCACTTGCTTGGACTGTGTAGGGCAGGAGACCAGGACTGGGGAGCTGAAGGGATGGAAGGGGAGAGAAGAACTAACATTTACTTGTTCTGTACCAGGAGGAATCAGGAGAAGCGTATGTAGGTATTCCAGGTCCCATGTATTCTGGGCCCCAGCAATAAGAGCAGAGGCTTTGGATCTAAAGTACCCAAGTCTGAATTCTAGCTCTAACATTTACTGGAATATGAGAGAATGGGCAAGTTGCTTAATGTCTTTGTGTCTCACTTTCTCATCTGTAAAATTGAGCTAACAATTGTATCTACTTCTTAGTAAGGATAAAAGTACATGACATATAGAAAATGCTGGCTGTTTTTATCCAGAATTTACTGTGGATTGAAGGTCCATGGATAGAGTCCTAGACCTCTAAACTAGTTAGGCAAAATGAAAGGCATTGTGTTATACTAGCTTTTGAAAATTCAGAAAAGTGATTTTTCAAAAGAAGCAATTGTCATTGCTTTTAGGAGCCTGAGGTCATGCTTTAAAATTACATATTTTCTTTAATATATAAGATTTTGAAATTCTTTGCTAAAATAGTAAATATCAAAAGCATCTAGATCATTCTAAATTATAAAGTAGACTATCAAGAGGCAAGTAACATAACATTTAGACCAAAAAAATGAAATTAAGGTGTTTATTTTCACCTCCTTTTCCTAATTGCAGGAGTGGAAATGAGTAGCTTGTTCTGTCCTAAATTGGTTATTACATGTGAAGTTTTAGGAGACAATTGCTAATCATGATAGTTTGGATGTAAACTGTACACCCCTTTGTCCTAGGTGTTGTTTAAAACATAGTAATTCCACACAACCATTGTGTACAACAGCAACAACAACAAAAGGAGGACAAGTGGACCTTCTAAACAAGTGGCCTACTGTCTAAGCCATAAATGCTCATAGTGCTATTTTTAAAGTACATTTTCACACAGGAATTCTTATTCTCTTCTTCTCTGTATGATTTTTTTAATGATTCAATTCTAAGAACTTTGGCAAGCTGAGTTTCAGCACAATGTAAGCTTGCTTCTAGAGGAAGTCAAATTGTTGGTCAACAAAGAAGTCTCTTGCTCTTTCTCCACAGAACTCCTGCGCTGGCTGGAGAAACCTGTGGCCTCAAAGGTGAGGGTGAAAGCAACTGTAGGCACAATTTTTGTACACGCTATGACTTATTATGCTGTAATACCAAACGTAATTTTGTCTTATTCTCTTGGCACCGATATCATTATGTTGAGCAATAAATAGAAGAGAAGCCTTTGTCCACACAGGGATTCAGAAAAGAATCAACACTAAACAAAAGCACCTGTTGTTTCGTTCTTGTAATGACCTCAGAAGTGACCAGTTGGCTGCATTCACCCCACACTCCTCCTTAGGCTTTGCCCAACACTACCATCTCGCACATCATTATTGGACGTAAAAGGAGAATAATTGAGGAGAAGATCAATAAATTTAAAAGCTCTTTAAAAAAAGACATAATGAATTTGGTACAGCACATATTTTTAGATCAAAGATGGCTTTGAAGTGACAAAACCCTAATCTATATACTACTGAAGCACTTCCTTTCTCTCCCAAACTGCCTGTTGTCAAATAAAATGGAAGTTAAGGAAATTATCTTTATCTGAAAATGGCCAAAAGAAGCCATCACCTAATGACAGCCTTGTCACAAGCGACAATTGGGGAAATTGTCAGGAAGGCAAGGCCTAACGAGCAGCAGAGTGGGCTTGCTGTTTGCACTAATCTGGCCATGCAGCCCCCACACACAATCCCAGTCAGCTTGCTGTGTGAAACAGCTAAGGCTTTGTCAGTGTTAACAGGGACTGGAAAGAACACGCTTTCATGAATATGTATTACCATCCCTCTATGTCTACAGAGACAAACCCTTCAAAACTGAGATATAAAACACACACGCACACAGACACACACACCACCGACCAACAAAAACCAAGAGAACCTAAGCTACTTGGTTGAGTGTAGGGAAATGCTAGTAACTAAGCACCCAGTTCCATGTGTTTGCTGGGATCTTTATTTCCCAGCAATTGAGATAAAATCTTTAGGGGGCTTTCAATCTTTGGGAACCACGTGCGTGAATTCAAAGATGCTACACATCATTACATGGACTGCAAATCACACATCTTACAGTGAATTCACTTTCCTAATACCAAATGCGTTCTGAAATTCTAATACTAAAATGAAAATAACTTTGATATCTTAACTAAGTGCATGTGCAGTTTTAAAAAACTGATCAAATCTCATACCGACTTCCTATGAAGTAGTAAAAGCACTATGTGGAAAATTATGAAGATGTAGCATTTCCCAACATTGAGTAGAAGGACATTGCTCACGCACAAAGTGGAAATCACAAATAAGAAATTTTCAGGTGAAAAGGGTTGAGGGGGGAATCTACTCTGTAAGCCCTTTGTAATCTTAATAACAGTGTTTAAGAAAATCCATATTATGTGTATTTTTTTCTTCAGAGATAAATGATTTTACATCCACCCAAGGGCATAGATCTAGTAAGAGATTTTTGAGTGACTGAAATTACTTTTTCTAATAACATTGAAATTTAATTTAAGTATAAATACGTATGTGTATGCATTTAACTTCACTTTTTTTTAGAAGCAGATACATAGGACAGAAAAGTATAAGGTTATTTCTTTTTTACTTTTTTCTGATGTAATAAAGTTTGGTTTCCCACCGTGCAAGAGACAAAGCTCAGTTTTGAAGGTTTTCTATATTACGCAATGTTTGCCGTAGACATTTACATTTCATTAGCATATTCTGCTCTACATGAAATCCAGCATTGAATGCTCCCAGCGCACTAAGGCTAATCCTCTTTAAAGAGCTACAGGCTATATTACATGTGGCCACAGCAGCAGTCTTGCCATCGCTGCATCACTTTGAAGACGATGAACAGAGTTCTCTTGTGTGTCTGTCCATACCCAGACTCATAAACCACTGCTTTCTGTGCTGTGAAATCCTTCTGTTTTCATCAGGGAGAATTACAAGGAGGCCGAAATCCAAGTTACCATTCTGAAAGCTGGACTGCACTTGAAGAGACGATATTATGCTGATTTCACTTTTTCCTAAGTGTCTATCCACAATCTTTTCAACTAAGATTAAAATGAACTATAACCAAGTATTTTTGGTCCTTTGATTAGGATCAAGTGCTAACCACACCTTCTGTCTAGGGAATCTGATCCTGGATAATCAAGAGAAAGAGATTCAGTGATGTCACAGTTTTGCAGGGCAGCATTAAACATTTAGATGCAGTAATTTCTAGGTAGCTCACTTTTTCATAGACAAAGACAACTCAGCTGACTATATCCAACTGAGCTGCCAATAGATGATGCAGTGATTCAATTTCAACAAAGTATGGCAAACTAAAAATTATACAACATTGCAGAAAATGTATTTTTTTAGTTAAAACAAAGGAAAATTAGTGAAGTCTATATTCTACTGATGACATTCCTTTAATAATGTTTAAATTATTTTTTTAAAAGAAAAGTGTTATAAAGAAGACTGATTTTGTTTTTCTTATCTTGTAGTTAACTAATCTATAAACAAATAATTGGTTTATAAATTATTCGTAATATTGAAAATAATTATTGTGTAAAAATTGCTATTGAAGATGTCTGTTACACTATCTAATGTTATTTTACTTAAAGCCCCACATAGTAAATTGTCCTATGATATCAAAGCAAGAGACATTTTGATTTTTATGCCAAAGAAATATATTTCTTCTTATTTGATTATGGACACCGGAACCTCATCATATTATCCCTTTTTGCTTTTACTCCCAGGAAACTCAGAGCCAGGATTTGTGCTCAGATCCAGGGTTGTCCCTCATTTGGATAACCTTGTACAAACTGTCTAACCCACACCTTTCATTATTTGGTCCATCTTCTTTACCCTTGACTTAAGAGTTCTGGACACACCTGTGTCTCTCATTGTGGGTAATTTCAAATATTTTTGAAGATGCATGCAGAGTAAAGAACATTTCTCAGTAGTGCTTCTTATTTAAAGTAGCCATTTTCTTCACAAGCATATGCTAGAGAGGCTTTACAGCACAGTGGAAGGAACTCTGAGTTTGGTGTTAAATGGGTTTGCCCACTACGTAGCAGGTAGTTTTTGCCTGCTCTCCTGAGGTGACCATGAGGTAGGTGACCAGTTATAATTGTATCTCTGTTCCTGTGAACCACTTTGGCACTTTCAGAAATTAAATGAAAACTTTGCTAGTAGTTGTCATGCCATCTTCCTTTAATGCTGGCAATATCTATATTCACGCTGAAATTTATTTATAGTTAATGTAATTCTCTGCTTGTTCTTACATTCCACTCACTTCCAAGGTAAAACATACTCTGAAAGACCTTATGACTTTATTTGCAGCCTTCCAGACACTAGCAAATACCTTTCCCAAGTGGTATGCATTTTTCTATGCCTGCACCACTTTGAAACTTATTAAGCATCTTTTCTGTAGGCTTTTCCTCTTATCCGTTACATATATTTTTTTCGATTGTCTGTTTAGTATCACTTTCTAATTTAAACAAGGTAAAAAAAGTATAGACTTTTCCTCTTATCCCTTATATACATTTTTTCTGATTGTCTGTTTAGTATCACTTTCTAATTTAAACAAGGTAGAAAAAAAGTATAGAAAAAAACTCTATGCTTTTTGGGTAGATTTACAATTATTCAAGATATTTTACTCAAAAACAGTTTTCCTAGGGGAAAAAACATTGAGAATGAATACACTTAAAAATTAAAATGACGGCCGGGCGCGGTGGCTCACGCCTGAATTCTAGCACTTGGGGAGGCCAAAGTGGGTGGATCACCTGAAGTCAGGAGTTCGAGACTGGCCTGGCCAACATGGCAAAACCCCGTCTCTACTAAAAATACAAAAATTAGCTGGGCATGGTGGCGTGCGTCTGTAATCCCAGCTACTCAGGAAGCTGAGGTAGGAGAATGGCTCGAACATGGGAGGCAGAGGTTTCAGTGGGCCGAGATCATGCCATTGCACTCCAGCCTGGGCGACAGAGTGATACTCCCTCTCAAAAGAAAAATGACATAAAATAGTTTATTAATCAAAATTATTTAAAAAGTTATTAGCAAACCATTCGGCTTTTATGCAAAATAAACATATATTTAAACTTATTACTGAACATCTCTGAAAATTCACAGTATAGTAGGCTTAAGAGATGCTTCACAAATCCTCAAAAGGAAAAAATTATTTGACCACAACTCATAAAAGCTCTAAATTATTAATTTAAAATTAAATTTTTTTATTGAGCCACTTGGAAATTTCTTTCTTTCCTTTCCTTTCCTTTTCTTTCTAAAAACACAGTCTTACTCTGTTGCCTAGGCTGGAATGGAGTGGCATGATTGTAGCTCACTGTGGCCTCTAACTCCTGGCTCAAATGATCCTCCCACTTCAGCCTCTCAAGTAGCTAGGACTACAGGCATATGCCACCATGCCTGGCTCATTTTTATTTTTAAAATTTTTTTTGTAGAGATGGAGTCTCACTACTGTTGCCCAGGCTGTCTCAAAGTCCTGACCTCAAGCAATTCTCTTGCCTCAGCCTCCCAAAATGCTGGGCTTACAAGTTTGAGTCACTGCACCCAGCCCAACACTTGGAAGTTCCAATAGCACTCAGAAACCATCTTATTGTCATTTTCCAATACATTTCCAGACTTAATGCCACCAAAACTATGTTTAGATGAAAATTTATAGCTTTATAATCTTTAATAATAAAAGCGAAGAAGTATAAAATGTGCTTTTATTTCAAAGAAGTAAAAAGAGAGACAAACTAAAACTTGGGAAGTTGGGGGAATGCATAAACATATATATTTTTTAAATAATGATTTATAAAAAGTAGATAAATTTAAAAATCTTGTTGTTTAAAAAGTCAGTAAAGTGGCTTTCAGGAAAATCTAATAAAAAAAGGACTCTTTTCAGAATGGGAAAAGGAATAAAAACAGTATTATGATTAAGACTTTAGAAGTATAATAAACTATGATGTACAAATCCAATTTTAAAACATGAAAACTTATATGAACTACATTTTCTAGAACAATTTTTAATAGATGATTAAGACTGGTTGAAGAAAAAAAAAATTTCTAGTTAAGAATAAGTGGAAAAATTTGCCTATTATTTCCAAGAATGGTACCAGATTCAGATGTGGTTGTAGTCTAGTTCCACCAAATTCTTTGGAAATGTGTAATTTCTAGGATATTTAGATTATATAGCTAATAGAAAAATATAAAAGACATTCCTAGTTCATTTTATAAGGCCAGCATAACACTATTATTAATACCTGACCAAGACCATGAACAAAAAAGATAACTATAGAAGACGCTGTTGTTGCCCATCCATAGCTCCAAAATATTAACTGCCAAGTACATATTTAATAAGAAATGGATTCAAGCTATTTAAGAGGGAAGAAAACTTTAATTATACCCTTAAAATGGTTAAATTTTATGATATGTGAATTTTAGCATCTTCCATAAAGATGCTAAAAATTATATTCAGCTAAATTTCATTCATTAATTTTTGGTCATCTCTATTTACAAAAGAGGCAAATGGCCCAAAGAGATTGAGCAACTTGCTTACAGTTAAAACTTTTTTTTTCAACAGGAAAATTAATATTTCCAAATGTAGTTTCTGTAGGTCTGTCTTCCCTGGATTTAACACTAAGTGACATCTGTCTGAATCTCATTTTACCCATTATTTTAATGAATCTACTTTCCATTGCCCAGGGTACTTCCTCACCTATCTCCACTGTGTGTGGCTGCTCATTTGATTACTTTTCTGCTGGGATCACTAGGTCTGAAAAGAGCAAGTGAAAACCTACACTTTGATTCATTCCCCTGTTCACTCATTCATTCAGATAGTCAACAAATATTTATTGGGTACCTACTATGTGCCAGACATTATTGTAGGTACTAGGGATATAGCAGTAAACAAAAGTAGATTTAATCGTTTTGAGAGGTAGACTCCAGCCAAGGGCATGGATTGGTTGGTTGGTTGGTTGGTTGGTTTTACGTTCATTTATTTTTTCAGAATGCAAAGCCCCATGAAAGATTCATGACAGAGAACTTACATGCTATAAAAAATAAGCACTTCCCATATCCATTCAGATTGAATAAAAATCCCAAGAACGCAAGGGATGAATCAGAGCTGTTGAACTGTGATCCCTCTGTGAAAGCCCTGCACCTGTCCTCCTCAGGAGAAGTCCAAGAAAGCCAAGAATTAATGAGGAAGACCCTTTATTACTGGAATCTGCCTAGATTTAACTAGGTCAAGCTTTCCCTTATTCAGATGAAATGGCATTTTGAGATAGAGATTATACTGTCATTGAAAAATATAAAGAGTTATATTTTTTGCCTCCAGATTATGTGGCTTGAATATATTATATCCATTATGCAGCTCTCTCAAAGCTGGTACTCAGAAACTCACCCCACACAGATATTAGTCCCTGTCCTGCCACATTCCCTCAAACAGGATTCCAGTGAGCTTGTTCATTTCTATCCCAAGATGGCTCCAGCTTCTACTTCCTGCTAAGAACATCCAATACTACAAGAGGACAGGAATCCAACCATCCTCCCACAAAGGCATTCATATCTACCTTTTGCAAAATGAAAAGAACCTTGATCATCTGGCTTACCTTGTTCTTTAGAAAAGACTACAGCTCAATGATTAGAATCACAATAAGTGCCCAAAAGCAAATGACTGCATTTCCCTGACTCAAAAAGTATCTTTTTTTTTTTTTTTTTTTAGACAGATTTTCACTCTTGTTGCCCAGGCTGGAGGCTGGAGTGCAATGGCACGATCTTGACTCACCGCAACCTCCGCCTGCCGGATTCAAGCGATTCTCCTGCCTCAGCCTCCCAAGTGCCAGGGATTACAGGCATGTGCCACCACGCCTGGCTAGTTTGTGTTTTTAGTAGAGATGGGGTTTCTTCATGTTGGTTAGGCTGGTCTCAAACTCCTGACCTCAGGTGATCCGCCCTCCTCGGCCTCCCAAGTGCTGGGATTACAGGCATGAGCCACTGTGCCCTGTTTAAAAAAGGATCTTAACATAGGTACTGTGAACCCCTGGAATGTGGTAGGTTGGCAAAAGCTAATCCAAGACCTTTGTTATCCAATTTTCCTTTCTGGCTCTAGCAGTAACTGTATATGGGCAACAATGATCATACAAAACAAAGTAGCCCAGGATTTTTTTTCTCATCCAGCTTCCAGCAGAATAATTAGATCCAAAAGAATCCTATAGTACAAGGATTTGGGTCCAACATTAGAAGAGCCTCTGAGTTACCTAGTTTAAAATAATAGGTAAAATTCCTCCTTATTGTGACTTTCCCCTATATCCCCTGGGATATACATGCCCTACTAATATGCCAAGACTCCTATATAAGAACTAAGCTTTAAAACCACCTTAAAACTTTAAAACCACCTTAAAATTTGATATCCCCATAGTATACACTATCCTAAACAATATTATTTAGATTCTTGCCGTATTAACTTGGCCCTGAACAAAGCTTCATTTATTGGCAGTATGGACAGGGAAAACTGCCTTTCTTTTCTTTTCTTTTCTTTTTTTTTTTTTTTGAGGCAGAGTCTTCCTCTGTCACCCAGGCTGGAGTGCAGTGGTGAAATCTTGGCTCATTGCAATCTCCACCTCCCAGGTTCAAGCGATTCTTATGGCTCAGCCTCCCAAGTAGCTAGGACTACAGGCGCATGCCACCACACCTGGCTAATTTTTGTATTTTTAGTAGAAATGGGGTTTCACCATGTTGTCCAGGTTGGTCTTGAACTCTTGACCTCAAGTGATCTGCCTGCCTTGGCTTCCCAAAGTGCTGGGATTACAGGCGTGAGCCACTGAGCCTGGCCTGGAAAACTGTTTTTCTTCAGGAAATTTGTGATATGCATCTAAAGCATGCTTTAGAGGGAAATTTGTTCTGTATCTTGATGAGGGTGTTCGTTACACAGTACTATACATTTGTAAAAATTATAAAATAAAGAACAAACAATACATCAGTGTTGCTCTATGTTAAGTTAAAAAATAAATAAAAATAAAGCCTATTTATGCTGTTTACCAAAAAAAAACACAAAAAACAAAACCAAACAAACAAAAAACAAAAGCAAAAGGAAAAGAAAAAGCATTAAGAAGCTTCGTGCTTCTCTTAGAGAGGCTGTGGGGCAGAAGTGTCTAAATATCAGAAGGAGAGTCTAACCAAGTTACACCTACACGAGAATGGGCTTACACACCAATAGAATTGTAGAATTTTTTTTCTAATTTATGTCAACAGAAACTAGTGGAATATGTGTGAAAATGGATTCTTAAGTGCTAAATGAAGGAAGAAGAAAGGAATATAGCTCCTTTGGGTCAAACATTAATGTGGGTTCATCTACCAGAGACTCTGGTAAATGCGCTAGTTCTGGTAGGTGAGATTGGTTATGACCATTTGTTCAGTTGGTTGGCTGGTACCTGGACTCAGTGGTGGCCTACACTAAAGGAAGTCAAGCTGTTAGAAATTAGTATAATGTGGATGAAGATACACAGATACTTAGAGATAGAAATATTAGAATGGATCTGTGAGGGTGATCTGCTCACTCAACCCTGCAGCGTATCACTCCTAATTATGTTCCAGGGATAGTCCTAGTAACAAGGCATTACAAAACATATTAGTGAGAAAGCACACATCACTAAAAAGCAAGATGGCAACTATACTTTGTAATCTGGGAATGAAAGTAGAAATGTACTCCATGATATACTCTTTAGAATTGAGAGGATATTGGAGAGGCATAAACCAAGAGGCAAGGTGGGCATAATTATGCAGGGCCAGATCAGTAATCAGAATGGTTTGACCTGCAAGGACCTTTAGCTTCAGCTTTAATACATGGGCAGTACACTAAGGTTTTACTTCATCTATGTATTATAATTGAAAATCCTAACCCTAGCAAATAGAAGTGTGGCTTGAGGGACCACAGTCTCATAGTCTCTTACTTCCCAGAACTGAGTTGGTTCATAGACCAAAAGCCCCTTCCATGAAATGGAGACTGGGGACCCTTGAAGCCAAGTTCTTTGAAAGTGCATCAAAAGGCTTCCTTTTAGCATTCCCCAAAGTGATCTGCAGTAATTCACGAGGGTAAATGTACAATGAAGAAACTAAAATAGTTAGAAGTTTTAGGGATTATTGGAATTGTCTCTGAGCTACAGTTAACTCCAGGGACATATAACACCACTACAGTCCAACAATCAGAAGAAAAGCTTAAGAGGGTTGGGTGATAAATGGAATATTTGACAAAATCTATCTCAGTGTGTTCATTCTGGGTCCAAGCATTCATCCTGTATTTATTTTCCAAGTTCCTGTATTTAGAATTAGAGAAGACCTTACTCAGCAAGTGGCAGAATTCCTACATTGGCTCCCTGACTGTACTGTGTCATAACCTAGTATTCAGGGACCTTGATCATTTCACCATTTCACAGGACATAGACCATGGCCATGTAATTGATGGCAACCAGTCAATGAATCTGCTGAGCATAAATTAGCAAATACACAAAATGCCTTGGCAAGACATATATGTGACTAAGGATAAGAGAAAAATTCCATAAAAGTTCAGAGATCTACTAACTCATTGATGTTTCTGGGGGTCTAGAGATCTGGAGTATATTGAGATATCCCCTTCAAATTGTGAAAGTCAATTTGCTGTACCTTCTTGCGTCCAGTTCTAGGAAGAAAGAGGCACAAATACTTGGTGGACTTTCAGTATTATACAGGCAAATTAACTGGTATTCTTCCTTCCTCCTTATTGATAAACCATAGGCTTTATATTTAAGGAAGGTCCCAAACAAAATAATATTCTTTTGCCAGTTCAGTTTAAAGAATAAACCTCTCTTGCCACTTAGCCCTTGGGACCGTAGAGTGAGTGACTGTGGCAAATCAGGATACCATATTGATCCTATGGAACTCCTGAATAAGATAATAATAGTACAGATCCCAGACTTGAGCGTAAAGTCATACCTCTTTGGCAAATAGCTATTTTCCTTGAGAAACCTCACTTAGTGGTTGTTATTTGGTACTGGTAGAGACTGAGTGTCTAGACATAGGAAATCAACTGATTATGTATGAGACCCAAGCTGCCCACCTGAATCAGATGCGACTTGATTGACCTATTTGAAAATGTGGATGTGCACAGCAGCTCTCCATAATCAAGTTGAAGAGATATATACAAGATCAGACTTCACAACTGCTAAAGGCATAAGAAAGTTTCATGAGCAAGTGGCTCAAACTCTCCTTCTAGTCTTGCTGTGATGCCACATCTCCTTAGACCCACATATACAGTGTAATGGGAATTTCTCTATGGACAGGATAGAAAATGTCCAAGGCTGATTTACTGATGTTTATGCATAATACACTGTCATATGTAAACTGATACAGCATTGGAGCTCTCCTCACTGTCAGCCATGAGAAACAAGTGAGAAGATAAATCCTCCCAATAAACAGACTTTGAGTGGTACCTCAAATTGTATACTTTGCCTGCAAGGAAAGATAATCACAGTGCAATTCAAAGACAGAGCTGAAAGGTTGGGTTAGATGATGAGAAAATTGAAAGGAAGAAGATTGAAGGATGATGACAAGGAGGTTTAGGGTAGAGATACACGTATGGATATGGATGGACCTCTCAGAATGGGTTTATGATATCAGAATACTTGTGCCCCATGTAAATGTCCACCAAAGGTCTCCCACTGCAGAAGACACCCTCTCAATAATCAGCGGGCAAAAGACCAGTACTGCACATGTCCGTTTTCCTGTCTCCCTACTCTCACTATTGTTCCTCGATGAGTTCAAGAACAAAGTGGCCATGGTGACAAAGATGAAGGTTATGCATGGACTCAACCACATGAAGTTCCCCTTACCACAGCAAATCTGGCTACCACACCACTATTGAATGCTTGAAACGCCAGCATAGTGAGCCCTCCATTTAGCTCTAAACCTGAGGGATGAGGAGGGAACAGCTAACCTCCTGTTGGCTGATCATAGTGAACCTCTTTCATCATGGAGTTGTAGCAGTTTTTCTCCCTGGAATGGACATGTGTTCTGGATGTAGGTTTGGCTCCCTTGCTATGCTTCTCTTAGCAATACCGTCTGTGGACTTACTGAAAGCTTAATTCACCCACATTAGTCCATACAACACTGCCTCTGGCCAAGGATGCTATAGGGCAGGGCATTTCCCACAGGATTCATCGATCGGTCATACCATAACCCTGGAGCAGCTGGCCTTAACAGAGCAAAGCAATAATCTATTACACATTCTGTTTTAGAGCCGGCTGGAAGACATAAGGCATGGGTACTGGTATAGAGAAAATAGTATATGCTCTGAATCAACAACCAATATATGGTCTTGTTTCACCCAAGGACAGGCCACATGGGTCCAGGAATCAAAGGGAAGAAGCAGGAGTGGAACCTCTCACATCACTGGGAGTACTAGATTTAGTAGATTATAACTCTAGCCTTTTAACCAGTTGCGAAAACAAGGACCGTAGCCAATATTCATATTTCCCTCTTTGGGTGGTAGTGCATATGTTCATACCTTAACCCATTTCCTTTTTCCCCTCTCCCTGTTGTGTATTAATTTATACAGGCTACACTGGTGGTGATTACCTTTATAGCTTAGGCTGTAAATGACATGTAGGTACTTTTATAAAACTGTTGCCAAATGTCTCCTTTCTCTTATTTAAGTGTCCATGCAATAAATTCTTCTTGGAATTAAGTTCCAAAAATAAGTCTGCATTTACAGAGGAACTTATACACACCCCTTTACTAACTAATGAAAGATGTACAAATCCAGCTTGTTCCTCTTTTGACTTGGTTGTCTGGAAGCTCAGAACTTTCTGTAAGCTCTACTTTATGATTCATTCAACACAGGTTTCCAGGACCCAAGCTGCTCTCTTCATTTATTCTAAATGGTTTCTAATCAGCGTTTTTCAATTTAACTTTTGCTTACATTGGATTTTGGTACATTTTAGTAGTGCATGTCACTTCAATTCCTTTTCATATGTACTTAAGTAAATACGTAAGTAAGTAAATAAACTGCGCCTTTAGTGAAGTAGTTTGTGGCTTCCCCTTAGCAACTCTGTCACACAGTAGCCTGTTCATTCGACCAGTATTTATTGAGTACTTACCATGTACAGACATGACAGGCCTATACCCCTCCCACCCTTGTGTGTGTCTTCATGTCCTTGACCATTGCTGTGATTTCACGTCAGATGGCCCATTGTCAACCTCATGAGCAGTGCCATGGGGTAATGGATTCCTGCTCTTATTTGGACTGTCTTCCAGAGCCTATTTCTGATTGTTCCTCACTCCCATCCCCTAAAGTCTGCCTTCTACTAATGGGTGCCTTTAAATCCAAATCAACCCTTAGATAACATCTTATAATTTCTGAATTCTCTGATAACTTTTATACTTTCATATTTTAGGTTAACTGGAACCTCATGGCTTTTACAAGCTACCCCAAAACCAAAATGGCCTCATCCTGAGAGCCAAGGGCTTTCTTTGTTTTGAAATAAAGAAGTGAAATACGTGGGTCTGGGCAGGGGTAATGTTCTCAGTGAACACAAACATTGTAGTTTCTAGAAAGACGTGTTCTTCACTGGTAACAGTGAACTAGCATTTCAGTTATAAGTCAGTCTCTTCAGAGTTTGATTGGTAAAAATAAATGGATTGGACTATACACAATCTACTCAGCTTTTCTCTTTTTCTATTGTTTAGGAATAATGTTTGTCTAATATGGGTACAATTCTCCGTAAGTGCTTGGATTATTTTCCTCTTTTTCTCCCCTAAACTGATTTTTCCTCCTTCCTGCCTTCTTGTTCTTCCCAAGCATGTATATTTATTCTTTCATTCATTCAACATTTTCATAGGTACCTACTATATGCCAGTGCTTCACAATGTGAAGGGTAAAGGGATGAAAACGGCACAGTTTCTGGACTCTAGAAGCACACATTTGTGGGGAGGCCAATGTGTAGAAAATGATTACAGCCTTGTGATAAATGACGGAGCAGAGGCACTGTGGAAGCCTAGTGACGTCCCTTCACCTGACCCACAAGCTGCGAGGCTCTCTGGGGATAATGACCCTGCTTTATAATGTAGTACAAGGTCATCAATCTATCATGTTGGGTGGGATGTTGGGCTGTTTCACAGCTGAAAGAATCAACAAAACATCCCAGGCCACTGCATGAGCAGGCACAGTTTTGGAAGTCACACTAATTTTCCCACAAATCCACATATATGCAATTGTGACCCGGGACAGTAAAACTAGTCCTCCAAAGTAGAATTTTAAGGAAAAAAGATTCATATTTCTCATGTAAGGCATAGAGATTACACAAAAGTATTAAAGAGCTTTCTTAGGAGTCCTGAATGCCCAGTGTGGCACTCCAGAAGTCTCTGTCAGCCAGTGAAATGATGTCAATAAAGGATGGTAATTGGTCCCTAAAGGATTGCCTTGGACAGTGTGAAGAACAAATACTCAACAATGGCAACAAGCAGCAAGGGAGAGTATAACTATTTATCTAAATCAAAAGATGTGGATACTTTGGACATGTAGGATGTAGTCAGATAATTAAGTAGTGTTACGTATGCATTTCTGTACCCTGCCAAGAGACTTCCAGGAAAGCTATTTACCTTCCCCATTTGATACTTCTTGCTCTTGTATCAGTGACTAGCAGCCAGTGCGAACAGAGCCAAAACGTTTCTACCAGCAGCTAATGCAGTCTAGTCCCACAACAGTGGGCATGACCGCGAGTGGGCTCTTGCCCACAGACAGAAGGAACCTGGTGTGTCAGCTAAGAATCTTTGGGCCTGTGGTCATAAAGAGAACTTATTAATGTATCGACTTTACTAAGTCCTGTCATCAACAAAACAAAAACCACTGCTTTCTTTTTTAGTCATTGCTTAATATTCCCCCTATCCAAGTTCGCCATCTACAGGTCATATCATTTACAAATTGCTTTTAAGGTCTTCAGAAGATTGTATATGAGAATTCACGTGTGCCTCCTATTCAGGGAGTTGATACTACTAATTCTTGATTGATGCCACAACTGATGACTATTACTGCGTAACTACTGTCTTGTTAGATATTGACTGCACTCTTCTTTTACATTACCACTCAGGGATTGAGGGTTAAAAGGTAATAGTGAAAAAGAGCTATTAAGTATATGTTTTAGTGCCATATTTCTTAACTTGTTAGAAAAATTCACTCTTTTTTGTTAACATAAAAGTATCACACTTTTGGCTGGGCCTGGTGGCTCACAGCTGTAATCCCAGTGCTTTGGGAGGCCAAGGCAGGAGGATCACCTGATGCCAGGAATTCGAGACCAGCCTAGACAACATTGTTTGTAGAGACCCCATCTCTACAAAAAAAATTTTTAAAAATTATCAGGGCTCGGTTGTGCACGCCTGTAGTCCTGGCTAGTCCAGAGGCTGAGGTCGGGGGGATCCCTTAAGCCTAGGAGTTCAAGGTTATAGTGAGCTATGATAACACTGCCACACTCTAGCCTGGGTGACAGAGTGAATGAAACCCTGTCTCTTCAAAAATCAAAACAGAAAACACTTTTCACTAATGTTTTTATTACAAAAGCACTAACAATCCTAACAGTACCCACCATTTACTGAACACTTAGCTTGCTATCAACTTACATATGTTTATTACTTATGCCAAATTTATGAAGTCTTGTTATTCTCATTTTGTGGATGAGAAATCTGAGGCTACAAGAGGTGATGCAGTTTATTAAAGATCACAGAGCTTGTCAGTAAGTTGCAGAGTTGGTGTTGGAATGCAGATCTGTCTCCCTTCAAACCTGCACTGTGAACAAATTCACCACACTGTCTCTGAATATTTTATTTTTCTATATTTCAAACCTAGAATGACTGTCTATGGCTTTTCAACTACCCTCTCCCCCTCACTTTGAAATATACTCTCCTGGGCAGGGGCCGTCTCCCTACTGCTTCACTGAGTAGGAAAGAATGACCCTTCTTGATCTACTGCACAGTGACTGAGGGTACAGGCAGAAATGCAGAGAAGCCTCCTGCACCACCACGTTAGTCCAGCAGCATTCCAGAAGTCCAAGGTGAAACTGTAACCCACTCTTCCTCTTCCTGGAGCTTAACTTGGCAAATGCCTCCTGATCAGACCTCTATTCATTTGGAGTCCTCCCTATGGGCTCTAAATGAATCCCTGTTCAATCAACAATGCCTAGATTTACGTACACATAGGGGCTAAGGCCTGCTCTGCAAAAGCATCCTCAAGTTGGAGTTCTGTCACATTTTTCTTCGGAGGTTGCTTTTTAAGAAGACCATTAGGAAATTAAAGACACCCAAACTAGTTTTGGCATAAAGGGGAATGTATTGATGGACATGAGGATGGGAAATGCAGACAGTCCTCATGTGGGATTAGAACAAGGAAATGGAAAGCTGTTAGTGGAAGCCTGCCTCCCTTTCTTTCTCTCTCTCCACAGTATGATTTATTCATTCCATTAAGACTTGAATGCCTACTATGTGTCAGGCACCATGCTAGGTAGGTGGGGCAAGAGTACCTACAGATGTAAATGAAACAGAAAAAGTCTGCTTCATTTCTCTCTGTAGACCATCTTTATCTGACCTATTTATGATGGCTTTGCATGACCCCTCGACTCAAGCATTTAACAGAAACTAACTCAGTTGCAGCGTCCTTAGTTTAAAGATAAAATCTTAGCACAACGCATGGCTTGTTCCTTCCAGCATTTAATCAGGTGTACAGCAAAGGGGCTTGTAGCAGGGAGGTTTGCATGGACAATCTCAAGTCAAGGAAAAATAAATTATGTAAAAATGGGATGTTGGGAAGGAAAAACTGACTGGTGAAAGAAATGATGATCATCTCTACTGCAAAGACTTTCAAAGATAAAGGGATGATGGTTTCCATAAACTTGAGGAAAGGGGAAAGAGCCCTAGGAAGGCCAGGCACTCATGCTGAGGTAGGAAAGGCTTTGATGGCTCAGCCAGAGACACCAGTTTGAGTGTGAGGGGAGGCTTTGAGTAAGGCACTGCTCGCTCACACAGCCTCTCACTCAGGGCCTTAGGGAAGCCTGGGTGAAATCCTTTGGGAGGGTAGAAGGGACAGAAGAGAAGAGGGGAATTATGAATCTTAAAACAAGGCCTTCCCTGGAGTGCCTGAAAAATTCATGGTTGCTTAAAAACTCAAATCATTTAAGGTTGCCTGAAACATTTGTGAACCCTGGAGGCAATCAATCTCCAATTATGAGAGCAGCAGATGGAGAGCAGTGATACTACAGCAGTGGCTCATGAAGACTGGAAGGCATCCAGGACAAAGTGGGGCAGGGAGGCTAAAAGTTGAGATGTGTGATAACAAAACGCCGTACGATTGCCCCGTAAGTTTTATGGACACGAGGGCCACAGTGGTCCGGAGAAGGAGTATTTACAATTATCAATGTGAATGTGAACTCTACTCACCAGTCTGGACTTTGAATGTGAATGACCTAAATATACCTCAAGTCCCTCACTTCTAATACCATCACAAAATATTTCAGCTTAATTCCTGCCCTGCAAGGGAATCTTGAGAGGATACGATATTTCATTTGCTTAACTATACATTTCTAAGGAACTGTTTAAGTCTGACCATATTTATTCATATGATCTTTGATTTGTAGTTCAATTTACAATTTTGGGGAAAAAAATCATGGCTGGTAAATGGGAATAGTGTCTAAAGTTTTCAAAGAAATTTGGTACGTGCCAAAAGCCTGCATATATAAAGAGCTGTGATTACTGCAGTGCTGATTTAGGGAGATAGGTGCATTACCTTAGATTATTTGAACTTCATCAGTGATTACTTTGTATAGTGAGTCCTAGATTCATTTTCCATGAAGTAATGTGCTTAGATATTTTATTATAAAGCCAAGTAGCCTACAATGTCTTAGCTTTTGTTATTCTTCTGATTTTTCCTCCTTATCAGGTCTGAAATTTGAAACTATTCCCTCAAGGGATTCACTCTATTTGCCCCCCCCCCCCTTTTTTTTGGTTCCTCAGTGACTCTCCTTCTTCTCATTAATTAATCAATTTGCTTCAACAAATATTTATTGAACCCCTCTGATGTTCCAGGGTAACTACAATTCTTACTTTCACAGAATATTTTTGGGACAGACAATCTACCACAAGCTCTGGGCATCTCTGCAAGTTCTTGCAGTGTATGTCAAGAATGAGAGATCAGGCCTGGTGCAGTAGCTAACACCTGTAATTCCAACATTTTGGGAGGCTGAGGCAGGATGATCATTTGAAGCCACGAGTTTGAAGCCAGCCTGGGCACATAGCGAGAACCTTAGATAAAATAAAAATAAAAATATTAGCCTGTAGTGGTGGCACATACCTATAGTCTTAGCTACTCAGGATGCTGAGAGGGAGGATTTCTTGTGTCCAAGAGTTTGAGGTCGCAGTGAATTATGATTGTGCCACTGCACTCCATCCAGGACAATAGAGTTAGACCCTGTCTGAAAAAACAAAAACAAAACAAAACAAAACAAACAAACAAACAAACAAAAAAAGCCAGGCCAACCTCTCCTTACCTGGGAATTTATTAGAATTTGCAGCATCTTTGAGGAATGAGGTCATGTCTCTCACTGGGACAAAGAGCAGGCTTTTTTTTTTCTTTTTTTTTTTTCTGAGATGGAGTCTTGCTCTGTCACCCAGGCTGGAGTGCAGTGGCATGATCTCGGCTCACTGCAAGCTCCGCCTCCCAGGTTCAAGCCATTCTCCTGCCTCAGCCTCCCCAGTAGCTGGGACTACAGGCGCCTGCCACCATGCCCTGCTAATTTTTTGTATTTTTAGTAGAGACGGGGTTTCACTGTATTAGCCAGGATGGTCTCGATCTCCTGACCTCGTGATCCGCCCGCCTTGGCCTCCCAAAGTGCTGGGATTACAGGCATGAGCCACCACGCCTGGCCAAGAGCAGGCTTTTTATAAAAGCAGTGGGCTCCCTAAGCCCAGTGTTCCTTGGCTGCAATAGAGACAAACCCACTGACTGCATGCACAGCATCCACTGGCCCACTCACTACTACTCCAGTGGGACTTGGAGGACATGAGGAGCAGATGTCAGCATGATGTTCATGCTGCTTGATGTACTATGGGTACTAAAACCTTTTGTCTCTGTCTCAGGAGTTTCATGCCGTCTGCCAAAATCCATGAAATAACAGGCTAGCTCATTAGCTTATAAGGAGCGTAGAAGCAAATTACAGACTCTGACAAACTTAATATTTTCCAAGAATTGCCTCACTCCTAGATGAGCCTCTCACAGAGTAAAATTTTATGTAATTTCCTAAATATTCATCTTAACTGAAATAGGATAAAGGCAAAAATGGCAACTTTATTTGACATACATTTATTTTTTGTGTGTTCTATGTTGTCCAAAACGTATAGCCTGTGTATTACCAATTCCATGCTTTTCAAAAAAATCAAATTGTTAAAGATTAAGATTTGTGGCACCAATAATGCAAATTAACCAAAATTTTCTGGATACCTGCTATGTGCCAGGATCTGTAAGGTGATATAAGGATGAATTAGACATAGTTCTGGAATTTTAGGGCTCAGGGTTTACTAGAGATGACAGGCAAATAGGTCTGAAATAAAAGACTGAATCTGCTCAGATATAGCAAAATTCCAAGCAAAGAATGGGCAAAGAATGATTGTGATTTGTAGTTTAATTTACCACTTTGAGGAAAAAAATAATGATTTTTTATACAGGGAAAGGAGGTTTAGTTAAGATACGCTTTGCTTAGAAGACCGACTAGGACATTGAAAGATGGGTAGGACTCCAGACAGTGGAAGTGAAAGGGGTAGGCTCTGAGGAGCAGGGGTGGATGGCAGTGTGAAGAGATGCACATCAGACAGATGTGGTGAGATGTGGGGCACAGCAAGAGCAAAGACACAGAGGGACCTTGTAGAAAGTGACTGCGGTCAGCAGGAAGTCCAGGTTCTCAGGGGTGGCTGTGGCTGGGCTGATGACTGACACAGACTTTAATCAAGTTTAGGTGCTCAGGCAGGCATGGGGCATTTTAACAACACTTTACATTGGCAAAGTACTTTATTGCTGTATAGCAGCTACTCAAATACTCTTTAGTAATGTTATTTCCATGAATCTGTTAATTTTACCTTATCTATTTTATTTATTTTTAAGGGAAATAAATGACATAAATGGGTATTAAGAACTTAATTCGTTCTTGAGTCCTATTTCAATTTCACTTAATTTCCCCTTTTTGATTTGAGGCCAAACTCATTGATCTGGGGCCCTGTGGTAGATTGTTTCCTATTTTTTGTTTTTCTCCATTGTAACTAATGAATTAATTATGCAGCTTTGTTTAATATCTGTCTTCCTCACTATAATTTAAACTCCAAGAAGGCAGGAAATGAGTTTGTTTTGTTCCCTTCTATAACCTCAGTACCTTGAATAACTCCTAGCACATAGTAGGTGCTCAAAAAATATTTGTTGTTGTTAAATGTTTATAAAAGCAGATGCAAGCTAAATCTGGGTAACCTATCTTGTTGATTAATCCTGTGCATTGCTTACTGTTGATAAGTTGGAAATATTTCTTTTTATTTCAGGGATATCTGTAGTGTTCAAAGAAGGTAAGATGCCTTTTGTCATCTCTAAAGTATTAAATTCTCTGCCTACACTCTTGAAGTGACAAGAACAGCATGCTTAATTTTAATTCATACTCTTGTCTCTTTGAAATAATGTAAAATTTTTAGAATATCTCTTAATGTTGATTCTCATCAGTCTTACCAGAAATTTCCACAAAATTTGCTTTATAAGTACATTATCAGATTATCTGAAAATTCTGTGACAATGTTTATGTCAAAGCTTCTGGCCCATAAAATAAGCCAGTCTGGGTGTTAATGAGGATGCCAACACCAACAAATGTTTGCCGTCATTCACATCAACCCCCATCTTGACGGTTTTCTGCAATTTCTGACAGTAAAGTTGGTTCTTCTTTCTAGTGCCTCACTGCCGCCCTCTACTGGTGGCACTTATCAGTACAGGTATAAGCAATTTCACTTTTAACTAGTGTGTTTATACTTACTAATGAAAACAAATGTGACACTCTACACAACAGAACAGGTCTAAATAAATTATAAGACTCAGTAATGGCCTGTAAAAATGGAAAATTTTGTGGAACATTAAAATAGCAGTGCATATTATGCAACTGACAAATACTCGTATTTGAATTTCATTTCAGTAAAGATCCATTAATCTTTTTGAATTTTGTCTTATGAAAAAACTCACTAATCCACTGTCCCAAAATCTATGATGTTTCAATATATCAATGATTAAAATTATAGTTGTATGCAAATACATGGAAATTAAATAACCTGCTCCTGAATGATTGTTGGGTCAACAATAAAATCAAGGTGGAAATTTAAAAATTCTTTGAACAGAATGATAACAGTGACACAACCTACAAAACCTCTGGGATACAGCAAAGGCAGTGATAAGAGGAAAGTTCATAGCATTAAATACCTACATGAAAACGTGTGAAAGAACACAAATAGACAATCTAAGGTCATACTTCAAGGAGCTAGAGAAACAAGAACAAACCAAACCCAAACCCAGCAGAAGAAAAGACATAACAAAGATCAGAGCAGAACTAAATGAAATTGAAACAAAAAAGACAAAAGATAAATGAAATGAAAAGCTGGCTCTTTGAAAAGTTAAATAAAATTGTTAGACCATTAGTGAGATTAACCAAGAAAAGAAAAGATTCAAGTAAGCTCAATTAGAAAAGAAACGGGTGATATTGGCTGGGCTCGGTGGCTCACGCCTGTAATCCTAGCACTTTGGGAGTCCTAGGCGGGAGGATCATGAGGTCGGGAGATCGAGACCATCCTGGCTAACACGGTGAAACCCCATTTCTACTGAAAATACAAAAAAATTAGCCGGGCGTGGTGGCAGGCGCCTGTAGTCCCAGCTACTGGGGAGGCTGAGGCAGAAGAATGGCGTGAACCTGGGAGGCGGAGCTTGCAGTGATCCAAGCTCGCGCCACTGCACAACAGCCTGGGCCACAGAGCAAGACTCCGTCTCAAAAAAAAAAAAAAAAAGAAAGAAATGGGTGATATTACAACCAATATCACAGAAATACAAAAGATCATTCAAGGCTACTGAAAACCTTTACACACATGAACTAGAAGACCTAGAGGAGATTAATAACTCTCTGGAAGTATGCAACCCTCCTAGATTAAACCAGGAAGAAATAGAAACTCTGAACAGACCAATAACAAGGAGTGAGATTGAAATGGTAACTAAAAAGCCACCAACAAAAAAAGTTCAGGACCAGATGAATTCACAGTTGAATTATATCAGACATTTAAAGAAGAATGGTACCAATCCTATTGAAACTATTCCAAAAGATAAAGAAAGAATCCTCCCTAAATCATTCTATAAAGTCAATATCATCCTAACATCAAAACCAGGAAAGGACATAACAAAAAAAGAAAACTACAGGGCAATATTCCTTATGAACATAGATGCAAAAATCCAGAACAAAATACTAGCTAACAGAATTCAACAGCATATAAAAAAGATAATCGACCATGATAAAGTGGGTTTCATACCAGGGATGCAGGGATAGTTTAATATCTGCAAGGCAATAAATGTGATACACCACATAAACAGAATTAAAAATAAAAATCACATGATCATGTCAATAGATGCAGAAAAAGCATTTGACAAAATCCAGCATCTCTTTATAATTAAAACCCTCAACAAAATTGGCATAGAAGGGGCATACCATAAGGTAATAAAAGCCATTTGTGACAAACCTATAGTCAACATCATACCAAATGGGGAAAAGTTGAAAGCATTCCCCCTGAGATCTGGAACAAGACAAGGATGTCCACTTTCACAACTTCTATTCAACATAGCACTGGAAGTCCTAGCCAGAGCAATCAGATAAGAGAAAGAAATAAAGGGCATCCAAATTGGTAATGAGGAAGTCAAACTGTGACTGTTTGCTGATGACATGATTGTATACCTAGAAAACCCTAAGGACTCATCCAAAAAGCTCCTAGAACTGGTAAATGAATTAAGTAAAGTTTCAGGATACAAAATTAATGTACACAAAATCAGTAGCTCTGCTATACATCAACAGTGACCAAGCTGAGATTCAAATCAAGAACTCAACCCCTTTTAAAATAGCTGCAAAAAAATAAATTACTTAGGAATATGCTTAACCAAGGAGGTGAAAAACCTCTACAAGGAAAACTACAAAATACTGCTGAAAGAAATGATAGATGACACAAACAAATGGAAACACATCCCATGCTCATGGGTGGATAGAATCAATATTGTGAAAATAACCATACTGCCAAAAGCAATCTACAAATTCAATGCAATTGCCATCAAGGTACCACCATCATTTTTCACAGAATTAGAAAAAATAATTCTAAAATTCATATGGAACCAGAAAAGAGCCAGCATAGCCAAAGCAAGACTAAGCAAAAAGAACAAATCCGTAGGCATCACACTTTCTGACTATAAGGCCATAGTCACCAAAACAGCATGGTGTTGGTATAAAAATAGACACATAGTCATTTTAGAATGACTAAATAGAAATACTGTTAATGCAAAAGAGCCTTATCTATTAAATGCTCCATGGGTCCATAACTTGCAAACAATGCTGGTTCTGAACATGTACATGACCCCAAAGTCTTTGGTCATGTTCTCTTGTATTCTTCCTTACTCTCAGCACACACCCTATAGGCAACAAAGCTGCCAACCTCACCTCATAAGTATGGTCTTTGCTTCTCAGTCTCTCTTCTTGCTGCCTGCTTCAGGGTTTCTCCCTGTTTAGTTTGGACCACTAGCCTCCAGGCTGGTCTTCCTGCCACTTGTCTCTTTCCCAGTTCCCATTCTTTATGCTTCATGTGCTGCCCAGATAGGTTCTTAGAAAGCAGAACTGACGGTGTTACTTTCCTACTTAGAAACTCCTGGCTCATTGTTGCCTATAGGATGAAACACAAACTCCTGAACTTGGCATGGAGGGTCCAAGTTGCCACGCTCAGCACTACCTGCCATTAGTGTCGCTTCTACCACTGTGAACTTGCCCTTAGTACTCTGGAATGGTGTCCCCAGGACTCTGTTTTCAACAGTATGGCAGAGTCTAACATCATGCTCTGTCATAATTCAGTTTCTTAACTGTCTCCCAGTAGACTGTGACTTCTGTGGGTGACCACAGTGTCTCACTCATTTTTTTCATTTCAGCTTCTCATGCTGTGACTAGCACACTGTAGAAGCTGTGTGAATGGACACATAAATGAATGAATGAATGTTCCTCTCCCCATTTTTATCTAATAAACTCATCAGTTTTCAAGTCTTAGGTTATAAAGGTACTTCTCTAAAGACTTTCTTGACTCTAATATGGCAGAATTAATTGCTGTCATGGTAGTTGCATATACTCCAGTCTTCCATGTTAGGTCATAAGTGACAGAAGCAACCTGGAGAAGTGAAAAGGATATGAGCTTCAGAGGCAAATGACCCTGGGCTAATCACTTAGCCTTGACACTCACTATCTGTGTCACCTTCAATAAGTAGCTCAGCTTTTCTGAAATGAACACTCGTTTCTTCATCTTTAAATGGAGTTAACACCACTTCCTCATAGGACTGATGCAAAGATTTAATAAGCAAGTAAAGGTTCATGACACATGAAAATTTCATTAAATTTCAGCATTTATTTCCTTCCCCCGAGGGTGAAGACCCTATTTAATTCATACCTAGGTTCCCAGAACTTCAGAAACTATAGAGAATCAATAAATGTTTGTTGAGTAAATAAATGATTCCCAGAGTTGTAGTTAGTCAAAAGTAGTGTAAGTATATACTTTAAAAAGGTCTTTTAAACTAATACAATTGTTTATTAATTCCTTTCTACTCACTTAGTATAAATATCACATCCTAATACCCTGAAATGTCTTGAATCAAATTCTTCTCATTTTTATGACGATAGTATCTAAAGTACACACACGTCTTGTGGTTTGAGGCATATTTTCAGACCTTTCAATTATACTTCCATTTGTACATTTCCTTTATGTAGTCACTGTAAAGTATGTTTGTGAAGTGCTTGGATAATAAGTAACATTTATTTTGTAATGGTATATATATGTAATAATTTTAAGTAAGACAAAGCAAAATATAAAATTGTTCATACAGTGTAATAGCAACTCTGCAAAAAATCATCGAAAACCACTGACATTTTCTTCCAAAAGTAGAAAAATCCATCCTAAAATTTATATAGAATCTCAAGGGACTTGGAATAGCTAAAAAAATTTTGAAAAAAAGGAAAATTGGAGGACTCACACTTCCTGATTTCAAAACTTACAATGAAGCCATAGTAATCCAAACAGTAGTATAGACCATCGATGTATAAGAAGCCCAGAAATAAACCATCATATATAGGGTCACATGACTTCCAACAAGAGTGCCAAGACCATCCAATGAGGAAAGAATAGTTTTTTCCAACAAACGGTATTGGGAAAACTGTATATCCACATACAGAAGAATGAAGTGAGACCCTTACTTTACAACACCACATACAAAAATTAACTCATAATGGACCAAAGACACAAATGTAAGAGTTAAAACTAGAAAACTCTTAGAAGAACACATAGGAGGAAGGCTTCATGAAGTAGGGTTTGGTGATTTTTTGTATATGAAATGGAAAGCACAGGCAACAAAATAAATAATAGATAAATTAGACTACATCAAAATTGAAAACTCTGGGCATCAAAGGGCACAATCAGCAGAGTGAAAAGGAAACCTATGAAATGAGAAAAAATATTTGCAAATCATGGATCTGACAATGAGTTAATATCCAGAGTATATAAAGAACAACTGTAACTCAACAACAAAAAAATCAAACAACCCAATTAAAAAATGGGCAAAGCATTAGCATTTGAAACTACAATTTTGGAAACTTAAAGCTAAGTTAATTTGGATCTGTTATTTGATTCATCCACTAAAGTTTTTTTGTTGTTGTTTAAAGTGCTTATCAGCATAATGATAAATGTCATGCACATTTGTGAAGAAACATCCTTTTTGGTTCCTTTTGGGAATGCGAGTCATTCCTTGATCTTTATGAATGACAGGTTACTGTTTTGCCTTACTTAATGTAGTGGAATAAAGCAGACAAAGCTTGAAAAAAAATGGGCAAAGTTTGAATAGACATTTCTCCAAAGAAGATATACAAATGGCCAATAAGTACAGAAAAAGTCCCCAATATCACTAATCATTACAGAAATGCAGATCAAAAGCACAATGAGACACTACCTCACACCCATTAAGATGGCTGCCATGAAAAAATCAGAAAATAACATGTTGGAAAGGATGTGGAGAAATCAGAAATCTTATGCAGTATTGTCACTGTACGGCAGTTCCTCAGAAAGATAAAAATAGAATTACCATATGATCTAGCAATTCTACTTCTACATACACCCAAAAGAATTGAAAGCAGGAACTCAAGGAGATATTTATATACCCATGTCCATTACATGATTAGTAATAGCCAAAATATGGAAGCAGTCCACTGAACGGATGAATGGAGAAACAAAATTGGTATGTACATGCAATAAAATATTATTCCACCTTAAAAAGGAAGGCAATTCTGACATATGGATGAACCTTGAGGACAGAAGCCAGTCACAAAAGGACAAATACAGCATGATATCACTTATATGAAGTACCTAGAGTAGTCACACTGATAGACACAGAGAGGAGAATGGTGTTTGCCAGGGGCTGGGGAAGAGAGAAATGGGAGTTATTCTTTACTGGATGCAGAGTTTCAAATTTGTGAGATAAAAAAGAGTTCTGTGGATGGATGGTAGTTATTGCAGTGCAACAATGTGAGTGTACTTAATACCATTGAAATGTGCACTTAAAATCGTTCAGATGGTACATTTTATATTATGTGTATTTTACCACAATTTTTAAAAATTATTGAAGAATAATCAGAAGGAAATACAATAAAATGTGGAATGTTTGCCTCTAAAGTGGTACTTTTCTATTGTTTTCCTCTTCCTATTTTCTACAATGACTACGTATTGCTATGTAGTTAGGAAAAAATAACTTAACTCAAAAGTTTCATATGAAAACTTACCCAAAGTTTCGGTTCATTAGATTTCAATCCATTCCTGATTTAGAAGAACTTCCTAGTTAAGAAAAAGACATAAAAACAGAGGACTTTGTTATAAGAAGATGGAATAATCTCTATTTCTTGCATTATGTCACAAGCATTGTTGCATGCTTGCTATTCGAAACAGCGGATAAGGGAACAGGAAGATCAAGTTCCTGAGTTGCAAATGAGTGCAGAGAAGTTACAATTGTATCATCACTGTTCATCACTTTAGATATAAAAGGAAGAGGAATGTTACATCAAGGGAGACCAGATCCTGTCCAGAGTGCTTGACTGGGGACAAACCTCTTTTGGTTTCCTCCCTCCCTTAAATAGGGGAAAGGGCTTCAAATTTCTCCTTAAACTTCAACCATAAAGGAGAGAAAACTCAACATCAGAGTATGAAACTATCAGTGGTGGTCATATCTGATAATTTTATTATGCATGAAATAAAAGGACTTTGTTGAAAAACCTCTGGGGTTGACATCTTATCTCCTGGAGTTCTGCAACTTTCATCCACTGACTTTAAAAAAGTCTATTTACTACTTTTGGGGCCTGCCAGAAAAATGGGAATCCCCCAGTTATTTATACAAAAATGTTGCTAAAGAAGTTTGCAATAATAATTACTACTTTATTGTATATTAAAATGACAATGTGGCCGGGCACAGTGTCTTGCACCTGTAATCCCAGCACTTTGGGAGGCTGAGGCAGGTGGATCATGTGAGGTCAAGAGTTCAAGACCAGTCTGGACAAAACATGGTGAAACCCTGTCTCTACTAAAAATACAAAATTAGCCAGGTGTGGTGGCGCGTGCCTGTAATCCCAGCTACTCAGGAGGCTGAGGCAGGAGAATCATTTGAATCCAGGAAGTGGAAGTTGCAGTGAGCCGAGATCAGGCCACTGCACTCCAGCCTGGGCAACAGAGTGAGACTGTCTCAAAAAAAAAAAAAAAAAAAAAAAAGGCAATGGATTACTCTTCCCAGTAATTTACATTTTTCAACTCTCCTATAACCCTCTCAAAGGCCAGCTTATTCTCCTACAGCCCCTAAACCACCATCCTAGGTCGAGGTCTCCTGTTCTTAACTGCCACTTATGAACCTTGCTTTCACACACTCCTATCCCCACCTTTGGAATTCATGTCACCAGATTCTATTATCCCACTGCCCTTCATTGTTGCTATCAGCTGCCAGTTCTCAGGGCATTTTGGCTCCTGGATCACTTGGTCTCTCCAAATCACTCTTATTCTTCGATATTTCAATAATCATGTGATGATCCAGGACTCTCCATTCCTTGAAATCCTTTCTTCCAAAGATGTTGTCCTTGACACAACCTCAGTCATTCACTTCCATGGTCATACAGCCTAAATTTTGTTATCATCAATCACAGCAACCCTTCCAGATTTTCAAATTCACGAATCTCTCTCGCTATTCACTACTACCCATCTTGTCCCCTTTTAGTCTCCAAAATCCAACAATCCTAAAATCCCACTGGGACCTCTATGGATCCTACTCCTGAACCCTTACTGTACTTTTATGATCCGTTTACCTTCTGCTCACTTAGGTGACTATTTCACGCTGTCTCTTCTTCCTCCATCCTCATCCTCATCAGACGAGGACTTCCACAGGCTCCCACTCCCTTCTACGAATCTAACAGCAGCTGCATCCCATACTCTGTCTTCCCTTCTGCTATCAGAGAGGGACCACCCATGCTCTTATCTAAAACCAAGCACTCCATTTGGGCACTAAGTCCAACTGTGTTTCTATTCAAGGGCAGCAGTATTTCTCTCCTCTTCCTCTCTCAATCTTTTACATCGTCAAGCTTTTGCTCTCCTTTGGCTCATTCCTATCTGTTTACAAATATGCCATTATTTCTTTCATCTTAGAAGAAAAATCTCTTCATCTCACTTTCATCAGTAGTTATTGTCTTTTTTAGCAAAATTCCCTGAAAGAATTGTCTCTACTTGAGCTTCCAACCTCTCTCTTCCCATTCTCTTTTAAACGCATTCTAATTAGACTTTTGTCCCATTATGCCACTGAAACAAATTTTGTCAAAGTCACTGATCAACTCCATGTTGCTAAATCCAGCCGTCAATTCTTCTTATTATTACTTTTTTTGAGATGGGAGTCTCCCTCTGTCACCCAGGCTGGAGTGCAATGAGGCAATCTTGACTCACTGCAACCTCCAACTCCCATGTTCAAGCGATTCTTGTGCCTCAGCCTCCCAAGTAGCTGGGATTACAGGCATTTGCCACCATATCCGACTAATTTTTGTATTTTTAGTAGAGATGGGTTTTCACCATGTTGGGCAGTCTGGTCTCGAACTCCTGACCTCAAGTGATTCACCTGCCCCGGCCTCCCAAACTGTTGGGATTACAGGCGTGAGCCACCATGCCCGGCCTCCAGCAGTCAATTCTTACTCCTTATCTTAGTTGATGTGCCAAAAACATGTGACATAAAGCCTCCCTCCTCTGCTGTGTTCCAGGAAACCATACTCTCTTGGTTTTCCTCCTGTATTACTGATCACTCCTTAGTCTTTTTGGCTGGTTCCTCCTCTTCTTCTAGATCTCTTGATGTTGGAGTATGCAAAGGCTCAGTCTCAAACTATCTTCCTTTCTCCATCTAAACCTATTCCTCGGTGACTTCATTCAGTTCATGGTTGTAAATACCACATATTTATTGGTAATCATCAAATTCCTGTCTCCAGCCCAAACTTCACCTTAAACTTCAGATGCATATTTTCAACCGTAACTTGATATCTGCACTTGAGTTCACATTGAACCCCTGGTTGGCCTTTGTTAATGACTGAACCTTGTCAGCAGAGTGAAATGAAAGGCCAACTCTTGATGAGCTGGGCATTCAAAAGAGGCTGAATAGGAGCAGTTGGGGTTACCGGAAGGGCCATGCCTTGTGGAAGGAACTTGGCTGGAAGGAACTGCTTGGTTTCCTCCCGTTCACTTTCAATTTGTGCATGGGCAGCTGTAGTCTTAACAAGGTTTTCTTCTGACAACTATGACTTGGGGTGATAACTGTGTTGAGACACTGTGGGACTTCTGAAACCTGTCTGTTGCATAATAACTAAGGCTTTTCTGTTCTTTCACTGTGACTTCCTTTTTCACAAATAACTCCTGGCTTGCAAACGAGAGGTATTACCAGCCTATTCAATGTTTCCAGATTTCTGACAAGGGCTAGATAAAGAAGTATTTAAATCATTAAAATCTTAAAGAGTCTCCATGCTGTATTTGTCTTTAATATATTTTTAAGAATCTAGGCCAGGTGCGGAGGCTCACGCCTGTAATCCCAGCACTTTGGAAGGCCGAGGTGGGCGGATGAAGAGGTTAGGAGATCGAGACCATCCTGGCTAACATGGTGAAACCCCGTCTCTACCAAAAATACAAAAAATTAGCCAGGCGTGGTGGCGGGTGCCTGTAGTCCCAGCTACTCGCGAGGCTGAGGCAGGAGAATGACGTGACCCGGGAGGCGGAGCTTGCAGTGAGCCTAGATCAGGCCACTGCACTCCAGCCTGGGCGACAGAGCAAGACTCCATCTCAAAAAAAAAAAGAATCTAGATTTTTAAAACATTGTATCATTAGAAAGCAAAACAGTATTATTGTAAAAAAATTTTGGAGAAAAATAATATATAAAAGAACATAAGAATTATCTATGATCCTACTAAGAAATAAGCACTATGAATATTTTACAATTTTTTCTTTGTATAGCTATAGTATTTATAATGAAGTTTTAAAAAGTATAAGTTTTCAAAATTTAGCTAAGTATTCTTTGTCTGACTACAATTGACCAGTCTTTGTGCCTCTAGATTGAGATGCCCAGGTGTACTCAGAAATGATTTAGAAAAAAAACACTGTGACCCCCTGTGTGTATTTTGGTGTGTGTGCTTCCTCTCACTCATGTTACAGTTAACTTGGTAATGTTTCTACACGTGCTATCTTCTGTTTTTCTTTCAGCCTTACTTTAAAGCTGGACATCCTCACCACTCTGCCTGCCCCGACCTACTTAACACAAACAACTAACCCCGATAGCCAAGCATCATCAGTGAGTGCTAACCTTTATCAAAACCCTTTCCTAGAAAAAATCTCTGCTATCTTGGTATTGGGCAGGCATGGCGCAGTTGATAGCCGGAAGGAGGGAGTGGGGTAAGGCTAGAACCTCCCCTGGAGCTGGCTGTGAAAGTCAGGAAGGCACCTTGAAGGACAGACAGAGCTTCAGGTCCTTGGGAGAGTGTGCTCTGGCAAGTGTGTCATCTTAGGCAAAGTAGATCTAAACAGAGAATTGGCAGTTCTGGTAACCAGCAGGGTTAGAATGGATTAAGTGCGCAGCCTGAGGTAGAGAGATGGAGTCATGCTAACAGCCTAGCATAGCAAGGAGGTAGAAATAGTAATCATTACCATTTATTGAGTAAATACTGCTACCAATAATAGTCAACTCATAAAACTGTAGTGAGTATTAAGATAATATATATAAGCATTGTAACAGAAAGGCTGACACACAGAACAAGCTTAACAAATACTTATTAAAGAATAATGCATGCCACTTATTGTTATTAACTATCATTATTCAGCACTGGTGAACAGATGAGAGTGTCATTTAGGGTGGGGGAAGGGGGCTGCTTCCTTACATCTTTAAACACTGCCTGCTCATGAATTTCCTCCACCCTATGATCTATTCACTTCATGGTGGATCCCAACCACACAGTAAGTCTCCTGCTTCCAAGTGAGCGCTTTTTTGTATTCGTTGCACACTGGGTAACCTGGGTTCTAATCCTGACTCCATCACAAACCAGCTACGTGTGAACTTGTGCAAGTCACCTTTCCCTGATAGACCTCAGTTTCCTCCTTTCTAAAGCTGGAGATTTTTGCTAAAGTCTTTAAAGTCCCTTTCGATTCTATGATTCTGTAGTGCTACTTCCGCTCTCCCAAAGTTCAGCAGCAAGTGACCAAGGATCAGTGCCAGCCTGGTCTGCTACAGTAGGATATACATAGCACTTAATAATGGCTACTGTTTGTTTTTATCAAGCATTGCTATAAGGGTCTTAATATATTAACTCATTTAATTATCAAAAAAAACTTAAGGAAAATGGACGTTGTTATCCTCATGTTATGGATGAGAAAATTAAGGCCATTAGTGATTAACTTGGTCATGGCCAAAAAGCAAGGAAGAGACAAAGCTGATACTAACACAAGGAGTCAATGTATCATATTAAAAGCATCCTGTACTGCAGGTTCCCATTTACACTTGATAAAGGTAACCTAGATCAGGTGTCATTTTGAATAGATAGTAAAGTCTTGTTTTTAAATAACCTGATAGAACAAGAGCAAAAACTTGGCCATGCTATGGACAACCTGCTTTAAAACACATACCCGCTGATACAGAATCTATGGTATTCATTTTGGGACTCTTTAAATATATTTAAATGGAGCAAATATTCAGGGTGTGTTGTTTTGTTATGCAACACCAAATCAAAGGAGGCATCTGGAAGGATCTGGAGCCTCTCAAATGTTACAACCTTCTACCATCTCTAGTTGAGTAGGTGTTATTATATACTTATAAGAAAATAGATGCAGTTCTCCAAGTGTTATGTTGATGAATTTATGAATTAATTTTTCAATTTAACCCATGGGGAAAATTTCACTTGTGAGCTAGAGAGTTTTAACAGTGGTAAGTCTCATTCAAAGAAAAAAAATTGAGCAGGACAGTAGAGATCCATGAAATTTTATTTATTTAGCAAATCTGTATTGTCCACCTACAATGTGTCATGCATTGGGCTAGGTACTGGGAATTCAGAGATAAAAAGATATAGTCTTGATCTTCAAAAAGAGCTAGTTGTGTACAGAGATGAAGAAATCATCACAATTTATTTCAATAAGTTATTGAGTAGAGAAAATCTCTGGGTCCTAAGAAATGGCTAACCTAACAGGACAAAGTGGCCACTGACTTTAGTAGAAAGCAGTCATGTAAGTCAAGTCTTCCCAGGGGTAGTGATGCTTGAGCTGGGTCTTAGAAATAAAATAGGCCACAAACGAAGGAAATGGTCTTGCAACAAGAAAAGTAATAGTGGTGACAAGAGTATGGCATGGTTGGGAAAAACAAGTAACTTGACACTACTGAAGTTTAGCTTCATCTGGGGTATTGGAGAGGAATAAAAGATGTGGCTGGAAGGTGGCCAAATAGGAACAGCTCCAGTCTACAGCTCCCAGCGTGAGCAATGCAGAAGACGGGTGATTTCTGCATTTCCAACTGAGCAAATGGCATACGAGGAGATTATATCCCACGCCTGGCTCGGAGGGTCCCACACCCACGGAGCCTCGCTCATTGCTAGCACAGCAGTCTGAGATCGAACTGCAGGGTGGCAGCGAGGCTGGGGGAGGGGCGTCTGCCATTGCTGAGGCTTGAGTAGCTAAACAAAGCAGCCTGGAAGCTCAAATTGGGTGGAGCCCACCGTAGCTCAAGGAGGCCTGCCTGCCTCTGCAGACTCTACCTCTGGGGGCAGGGCATAGCTGAACAAAAGGCAGCAGAAACCTCGGCAGACTTAAATGTCCCTGTCTGACAGCTTTGAAGAGAGTAGTGGTTGCCCCAGCACGGAGTTTGAGATCTGAGAACAGACAGACTGCCTCCTCAAGTGGGTCCCTGACCCCCAAGTAGCCTAACTGGGAGGCACCCTCCAGTAAGGGCAGACTGACACCTCACACGGCCAGGTACCCCTCTGAGATGAAGCTTCCAGAGGAACGATCAGGCAGCAACATTTGCTGTTCAGCAATATTTGCTGTTCTGCAGCCTCTGCTGCTGTTACCCAGGCAAACAGGGTCTGGAGTGGTCCTCCAGCAAACTCCAACAGACCTGCAGCTGAGGGTCCTGACTGTTAGAAGGAAAACTAACAAACAGAAAGGACATCCACACCAAAACCCCATCTGTACGTCACCATCATCAAAGACCAAAGGTAGATAAAACCACAAAGATGGGGAAAAAACAGAGCAGAAAAGCTGAAAATTCTAAAAATCAGAGCGCCCCTCCCCCTCCAAAGGAACGCAGCTCCTCTCCAGCAACAGAACAAAGCTGGATGGACAATGACTTTGACGAGTTCAGAGAAGAAGGCTTCAGACGATCAAACTTTTCTGAGCTAAAGGAGGAAGTTCGAACCCATTGCAAAGAAGCTAAAAACCTTGAAAAAAGATTAGACGAATGGCTAACTAGAATAACCAGTGTAGAGAAGTCCTTAAATGACCTGATGGAGCTGAAAACCATGGAACAAGAAATATGTGATGAATGCACAAGTTTCAGTAGCCGATTCGATCAACTGGAAGAAAGGGTATCAGTGATTGAAGATCAAATGAATGAAATGAAGTGAAAAGAGAAGTTTAGAGAAAAAAGAGTAGAAAGAAATGAATAAAGCCTCCAAGAAATATGGGACTATGTGACAAGACCAAATCTATGTCTGATTGGTGTACCTGAGAGTGACGGGGAGAATGGAACCAAGTTGGAAAACACTCTGCAGGATATTATCCAGGACAACTTCCCCAACCTAGCAAGGCAGGCCAACATTCAAATTCAGGAAATACAGAGAAAGCCACAAAGATACTCCTTGAGAAGAGCAACTCCAAGACACATAATTGTCAGATTCACCAAAGTTGAAATGAAGGAAAAAATGTTAAGGGCGGCCAGAGAGAAAGGTTGGGTTACCCACAAAGGGAAGCCCATCAGACTAACAGCTGATCTCTCGGCAGAAACTCTACAAGCCAGAAGAGAGTGGGGGCCAATATTCAACATTCTTAAAGAAACGAATTTTCAACCCAGAATTTCATTTTCAGCCAAACTAAGCTTCATAAGTGAAGGAGAAATAAAATCCTTTACAGACAAGCAAATGCTGAGAGATTTTGTCACCACCAGGCCTTCCCTAAAAGAGCTCCTGAAGGAAGCACGAAACATGGAAAGGAAAAACCAGTACCAGCCACTGCAAAAACATGCCAAATTGTAAAGACCATCAATGCTAGGAAGAAACTGCATCAACTAATGAGCAAAATAACCAGCTAACATTATAATGACAGGGTCAAATTCACACATAACAATATTAGCCTTAAATGTAAATGGGCTAAATGCTCTAATTAAAAGACACAGACTGGCAAATTGGATAAGGAGTCAAGACCCATCAGTGTGCTGTATTCAGGAGACCCATCTCATGTGCAGAGACACACATAGGCTCAAAATAAAGGGATGGAGAAAGATCTACCAAGCAAATGGAATACAGAAAAAGGCAGGGGTTGCAATCCTAGTCTCTGATAAAACAGACTTTAAACCAACAAAGATCAAAAGAGACAAGGCCATTACATAATGGTAAAGGGATCAATTCACCAAGAAGAGCTAACTATCCTAAATATATATGCACTCAATACAGGAGCACCCAGATTCATAAAGCAAGTCCTTAGAGACCTACAAAGAGACTTAGACTCCCACACAATAATAACGGGAGAGTTTAACACCCCACTGTCAACATTAGACAGATCAACGAGACAGAAAGTTAAAAAGGATATCCAGGAATTGAACTCAGCTCTGCACCAAGCGGACCTAATAGACATCTACACAACTCTCCACCCCAAATCAACAGAATATACATTCTTCTCAGCACCACATCACACTTATTCCAAAACTGACCACATAGTTGGAAGTAAAGCAAGCCTCAGCAAATGTAAAAGAACAGAAATTATAACAAACTGTCTCTCAGACCACAGTGCAATCAAACTAAAACTCAGGATTAAGAAACTCACTCAAAACCGCTCAACTACATGGAAACTGAACAACCTGCTCTTGAATGACTACTGGGTACATAATGAAATGAAGGCAGATATAAAGATGTTCTTTGAAACCAATGAGAACAAAGACACAACATACCAGAATCTCTGGGACACATTTAAAGTAGAGTGTAGAGGGAAATTTATAGCACTAAATGCCCACAAGAGGAAGCAGGAAAGATCTTAAATTGACATCCTAACATCACAATTAAAAGAACTAGAGAAGCAAGGGCAAACACATTCAAAAGCTAGCAGAAGGCAAGAAATAACTAAGATCAGAGCAGAACTAAAGGAGATAGAGACACAAAAAACCCTTCAAAAAAATCAATGAATCCAGGAGCTGGTTTTTTGAAAAGATCAACAAAATTGATAGACCACTAGCAAGACTAATAAAGAAAAAAAGAGAGAAGAATCAAATAGATGCAATAAAAAATGATAAAGGGGATATCACCACCGATCCCACAGAAATACAAACTACCATCAGAGAATACTATAAACACCTCTATGCAAATAAACTAGAAAATCTAGAAGAAATGGATAAATTCCTCGACACATACACCCTCCCAAGATTAAACCAGGAAGAAGTTGAATCCCTGAATTGACCAATAACAGGCTCTGAAATTGAGGCAATAATTAATAGCTTACCAACCAAAAAGAGTCCAGGACCAGACAGATTCACAGCGGAATTCTACCAGAGGTACAAAGAGGGGCTGGTACCATTCCTTCTGAAACTATTCCAATCAATAGAAAAAGAGGGAATCCTCCCTAACTCATTTTATGAGGCCAGCATCATCCTGATACCAAAGCCTGGCAGAGACACAACAAAAAAAGAGAATTTTAGACCAATATCCCTGATGAACATCGATGCAAAAATCCTCAATAAAATACTGGCAAACCAAATCCAGCAGTGCATCAAAAAGCTTATCCACCATGATCAAGTGGGCTTCATCCCTGGGATGCAAGGCTGGTTCAACATACATAAATCAATAGATGTAATCCAGCATATAAATAGAACCAAAGACAAAAACCACATGATTATCTCAATAGATGCAGAAAAGGCCTTTGACAAAAGTCAACAGCCCTTCATGCTAAAAACTCTCAATAAATTAGGTATTGATGGGATGTATTGCAAAATAATAAGAGCTATCTATGACAAACCCACAGCCAATATCATACTGAATGGGCAAAAACTGGAAGCATTCCCTTTGAAAACTGGCACAAGACAGGGATGCCTTCTCTCACCACTCCTATTCAACATAATGTTGGAAGTTCTGGCCAGGGCAGTCAGGCAGGAGAAAGACATAAAGGGTATTCAATTAGGAAAAGAGGAAGTCAAATTGTCCCTGTTTGCAGATGACGTGACTGTATATCTGGAAAACCCCATCGTCTCAGCCCAAAATCTCCTTAAACTGATAGGCAACGTCTGCAGTCTCAGGATACAAAATCAATGTGCAAAAATCACAAGCATTCTTATACACCAATAACAGACAAACAGAGAGCCAAATCATGAGTGAACTTCCATTCACAATTGCTTCAAAGAGAATAAAATACCTAGGAATCCAACTTACAAGGGATGTGAAGGACCTCTTCAAGGAGAACTACAAACCACTGCTCAATGAAATAAAAGAGGACACAAACAAATGGAAGAACATTCCATGCTCATGGATAGGAAGAATCAATATCGTGAAAATGGCCATACTGCCCAAGGTAATTTATAGATTCAATGCCATCCCCATCAAGCTACCAATGACTTTCTTCACAGAATTGGAAAAAACTACTTTAAAGTTCATATGGAACCAAAAAAGAGCCCACATCACCAAGACAATCCTAAGCCAAAAGAACAAAGCTGGAGGCATCATGCTACCTGACTTCAAACTATACTACAAGGCTACGGTAACCAAAACAGCATGGTACTGGTACCAAAACAGAGATATAGATCAATGGAACAGAACAGAGCCCTTAGAAATAATACCACACCTCTACAACCATCTGATCTTTGACAAACCTGACAAAAACAAGAAATGGGGAAAGGAGTCCCTATTTAATAAATGGTGCTGGGAAAACTGGCTAGCCATATGTAGAAAACTGAAACTGGATCCCTTCCTTACACCTTACACAAAAATTAATTCAAGATGGATTAAAGACTTAAACGTTAGACCTAAATCCATAAAAACCCTAGAAGAAAACCTAGGCATTACCATTCAGGACATAGGCATGGGCAAGGACTTCATGTCTAAAACACCAAAAGCAATGGAATAAAAGCCAAAATTGACAAATGGGATCTAATTAAACTAAAGAGCTTCTGCACAGCAAAAGAAACTACCATCAGAGTGAACAGGCAACCTACAGAATGGGAGAAAATTTTTGCAATCTACTTATTTGACAAAGGGCTAATATCCAGAATCTACAAAGAACTTGGACAAACTTACAAGAAAAAAACAAACAACCCCATCAAAAAGTGGGTGAAGGATATGAACAGACTCTTCTCAAAAGAAGACATTTATGCAGCCAACAGACACATGAAAAAATGCTCATCATCACTGGCCATCAGAGAAATGCAAATGAAAACCACAATGAGGTACCATCTCACACCAGTTAGAATGGCAATCATTAAAAAGTCAGGAAACAACAGGTGCTGGAGAGGATGTGGAGAAATAGGAACACTTTTACACTGTTGGTGGGACTGTAAACTAGTTCAACCATTGTGGAAGACAGTGTGGCATTTTCTCAAGGATCTAGAACTAGAAATGCCATTTGACCCCGCCATCCCATTACTGGGTATATACCCAAAGGATTATAAATCATGCTGCTATAAAGACACATGCACACGTATGTTTATTGTGGCACTATTCACAATAGCAAAGACTTGGAACCAATCCAAGTGTCCATCAATGATAGACTGGATTAAGAAAATGTGGCACATATACACCATGGAATACTATGCAGCCATAAAAAAGGATGAGTTCATGTCCTTTATAGGGACCTGGATGAAGCTGGAAACCATCATTCTCAGCAAACTATCGCAAGGACAAAAAACCAAACACCCCATGTTCTCACTCATAGGTGGGAACTGAACAATGAGAACACTTGGACACAGGAAGGGGAACATCACACACCGGGGCTTGTAGTGGGGTTGGGGAATGGGGGAGGGATAGCATTAGGAGATATACCTAATGTAAATGACGAGTTAATGGGTGCAGCACACCAACACAGCACATGTATACATATATAACAAACCTGCATGTTGTGCACATGTACCCTAGAAACAAACCTGCATGTTGTGCACATGTACCCTAGAACTTAAAGTATGATTAAAAAAAAAAAAGATGTGGCTGGGGAAGCATGTCGCTGGGAGATCAAGAAGGCTATAAAGATATGTGCTCAGAAAAGGAGGCATCTGAACAGCATGATCTGATACAAATTGTTCAAAAACAGCCCTGCACCCAGACTAGAGACGGAGGAGATCACGGTATGGTGCAGGATGCTGATGGCCTGAACCAAGTGAGAATGGATCGATATGGTAGATTCAAAAGACATTCAGAGAATGGAATCAGTGTGACTTCAAAATTGATTAGCTATTGTTGATTAAATAAAAAAGACATCTAGGGTGACTTCAAAGTTTTTGGCTTGGCTGAATTTGGGGTGAATTTTAGTGCCAGATAGCAATATAAAAATTACTGGTGGAGGCAGTAAATGATGAATCCAATTTTGAAAATGTTAGAAGTGAGATGCCTGTGGAATACAGAGTAGAAATGGTAAGTAGGCATTTGGATAGGAGTCTAGACTCAGGGAGAGGAATGGCAGGGCCTTTAATATATTAGTGTTAAGTACATCCAAGGTGAACACACAGTAAGAGAGAAAGAGGGTAGAGAACAGAATCTAACATGTATAATGGGGCAGAGAAAGAGAATAGAGAAGTAAGAGCAGCCAGAGATGTGGGAGGAAGATCAGAAGATCAGATGTGGCAGGAAGATCACTCAAGGTGATATGGAAACCAAAGGAGGGAATTTAGAGAAAAAGTGTTAGTATCATAATAGTGTCATAATTTTAGAAAGAGAGACAGAGAAAATAAAGTCTAAAAAGCAGCCTTTGTGTTTGTCTCCTGGGAAGCCTCTGATACATGAATGTAAGTAAGTTCAGGGCAAATGCCAGATTGCAGGGAGGTAGAAGTAAAAGGTGAAGAAATGGAGCCGAGGAGTAGAGGCTTGTCTATGGAGGAATGTGGCTGAGAGGCACAGGAGAGAAAGGGAAGTAGACCAAGAGGGATGTAGCTGCAAAAAGGGGTTTGTTTGTTTGTTTGTTTGCTTGCTTTTTTCAGGATACTCACACTTAAGCATGCTTACTGCCGCAGCAGAGGGCTGAGAAGGCAGCGTCCTCCTGAAAGAGGAAAAAGGAAGGGGACAGACTCCAGTTGTAAGGATTGGTTTGCCTTGCCTTGGGGAGGCAGGACACACTTTTTACTGAAACAGACAGGAAAAAGGCAGAGGTGCTCTGGTTGCGTGAGGTTTTTAAGTAGAGGGCAGGGGAGGGGGAGGAAGGAAGTTGATGGAGTTACCTGCTTTTGGGCTGAGAGTAAGAAGTGAGGTGGCAGAACTGGAGCTTGAGGAGAATGAAAAACCTTCAGTAGAGTACCTGAGAGGAGTGGCCCGGGAAGCTGCCCATCAACAAGTAGAGGGATCTCCAGGTAGCACCAAGGGTCCAGCTGAGAGTGTGACCAAGAATTTTAGTGTCATTAATTGTGTGGAGTTTTCTCCAGAAGCCTTTAGGCTTTATCCTTTATTAAGCACTTACGATTGTGCTTAGTAATTATGCTTAAGGACTGAGGGGCCTGTGGGAACAGGTAAGTGATGGCTCAGAGGAATGGTGACTGGGAGAAATGAGGGCAGGGACCAGCACCTAGAGGTCTTGACAGATGGGCTAATGAAAGCAGAGATGAAGAAAGAGGGCTGTTTTTTAGGGAGTTGGATACTGAAGTATAAAATTTGAGAGCTAGACCCTGTCTCAGGGACTGTAAGCTCCAGGATGTGAATCTGAGAGTCAGTGGTGAGGGAGGAGAAGGGTTTTGGAGAGAGAGGTCATCGAGTGAAGGTTCAGTTGTCCACAAAGACACTGTAATTGGATGATGGGAGGATATGGGGTGAAAATGCATCTGTAAGTCGATAGCTCACTCAGGCTCTAAAATGTGAGCCTAGCCCAGGACGTAGAACTTGCAATGAGCCGTGATCACAATCACATCACTGCACTCCAGCCTGGGCAGCAGAGTGAGACCCTGTCAAATAAATAAATAAATAAGTAAATAAAATGTGAGACTGCTGATACAGAATATACGGTATCTTCTGTATCCCATGTATCAAATGCCCCAGAGGATTTCTCTTCCTACAAGTCTCTATCACAAGTGCTTGTTGAACATTCTGGTGAGAACATGTGCTTGGGAATAAGGTGATCAGAGGTCACTTTACTGAGTGAAAATATATTCAAGGGATGTGCCCCAAGAAGACCCCACAGAGAGCTAGAAAGAGCAGAAAGCTAGAAGGAGAGCCTAACCTTATCTACATAATGGTGCAGGAGTCTGTATAGCATGGAATTAACACAGTAAGGGCGCTTCTAACAGTTGCTGAGCTGCCCTGGCAAGCTGCGCCTTCAGAAGCCTAAACCAAGTTTCTCATGTCCCAAGGAAGAGGGTAGGTTTAGAGTAACAGGAAATCTGGGCTCAAAGGTCTTCAAATGTTGCTTATTGAGTAACCTGCAATCTTCAGAAGTGTATGTCAAACCTAATACATTAATATATCAAAAGAGATGTTACCACTTACAGTTTATTATCTTTCACAATAATTATTTGGGGCATGACCTCAGGGAAGAAAATTTCTCGGTAATGATATAGTTATCTTGGAAAATGATGACGGGCTGACCAGCAGTGTCCAAACTTTAATTAGAGCTGAAGTTACTGTGAAGAAATGCCAACTAAAAGGACACATGATGAGGTTCTAAATTTTTTTTTTGTAGAAAAAAAGGTAATTATGAATGGACAAGGCTTTTGCTGGCAATTCTGCAGATATTTTGGGTGCATATTATGCACTGATGGAGAATGCACCACAGTAACCAGATGTGCTGGGGTTAAGGTCAAAGCAGTGCTGGTGAGCCAATGACACAGTGCATTTTGAGGTGCAGTAGGAGTATATACAAAGACATGACAAAATTGAATATAAGTACAATATGTGCAGATATAAATTACTAAATCCAAAATATGGAAATCCATAAGAACAAGAAATGAGTTAAGAGGTTATTTGCACACAGGTCAGGCCAAATTTCCATTCCCCCTTCCCTGCCTTTTTTTTTTTTATCTTTAAGCCAAAAGAATTATTAGACTGAAGTAAAAGCTACAGTTGACAGAGAAGCAATCAACACAAGAAAAATGAACCAATAGTAAGTGTTTCAACTGGTATTTCCTTCTCTGTTCACTGACTCCGCTGCACCTGTTTGTTCCTAGCACTGAGACTCCGTCCTCTCTTCTTTCACATAGCTGGTTATTTGTATGCCAAATAAAAAGAAGGAAAAACTTTTATCTTCCAAAGCTGCATAGTTTTATTTACTATATATTATTAGCAATATAGTTCTATTTAATAAACTATATTTGTTTTCTCAAAAAAGATATAAGTATATTATATAATAATTTAAAAATTTTTTGTAAGAATATCATGTTATGTAGAAAGAAATAGAAGGAAGGGAAAGAATCTATCACTGTAAGACAACAATCACTTTTAGAATATTTCTGAATTTATATCTATACCATTTTATGTAAATACTTGCATGCATACAAGTTATTCAATCCTGAGTCTGTTTTTCACTTAGTATTTTCTGTGCTGGTACTATTTTTTATCCTATCATGTTTTATGGGTACAGTATCTTTTGCTTAACCTCCCCCTTTTATGAGAATGCTTGCAATTATTTGTTATTACGACTTTATGATGAACATGTTTGCGAATTTTTCCCTTGTCTAGAATTATTTCCCCCTTAGGATGGATTCCCAGAAATGAAATTATTGCATATAGCCATTGGCACATACTATGACCCATTAGTAGCCCTTGATCTAGATAATGTTTAAAGTCCCCCCTGGCCCCTGAGTTCAGAAGTTCAGTGAAACAAGCAGAATGAACCTGTAGTATTCAAGCTGAGACATTTCACCCTTTCTATCACTCTTATTTGAAAAAGTATTGGCTATCTTCTGCATCCCTTCAATTATATGATAATTTACGAGGAAATATAATAGTTTATTAGGCTACAGGTGTGATAAACGTTTGATAAAATATTTCTCTGTCAAATACTTTGTACATCTATACTTAGGAAATTGAACAGATTGCATTGTCAACTGAGCTCTGTAACCAAGGCCCAGTAAAATTCAAAGATACTGCACTGGCTAAGAAAATATCCACTTCTCAAATGCATTAGTGTAGCATGTCTGAAACTTTAGCCATTTGCATGCCATCTTCATAATTTTTGCCAAATCTGCAGATTACCTGTAATATTATTTATTTAATCATTTCCTTAAAATCAATAGTAAATTAGCTCAACTTCTTACTTAACACTTTCCTGAACAACAGTATTCATGAAATTCTAGGTTTTATAAGCAAATTATGTTAATTTATATTAAGCTAGCAAATAACTCAAAATTTTGAAGTTTAGACATGTACTGCCTAAAATCAGTAGCATGTATACCATACTTAGGAAAAGTTGTATTTGTATGTATCTGATATTTAAGTTATAATCATCTCTTCTTTTCTTCAGACATAGAAGAATGATAGCACCAGATAATATTCTTTCTTTTAAGTTTGTCTATCCCACAGTTCTCTATAAATAAAGCATATTACAACATTCTGCAAAAACAGTTGTCACCATCAATAACAAGAAACAAAGACTCCCCCATATAGAGAGGCAACAAATACAATACAAAATACAAAAAAAACAAAAATATGGAATATATTTTCACCAAAAGTTTAAATGCTCATTCCTTTAAGAGTTCTTCAATCCATAGATATTCAAAATTTCAAGAAAGAAAATCATTTACAATGAACAGCTTATGCCAAAAAGCCATCATTCTCTGCAATAGATTAGAGAATAATAAAAGCAATTCATGCCTTGTGTTCATGGGAAAGGGATCAGTAAAATTGTTTGGAATAGAAGGAGCCATGGAATTTCAGAAATATCTTGAAATGCACAAACTTATTCTTAAGGAAAACTTCAGGCTCTAAATCCAAACCTAGATCACATGGCACTTGCTGGGAGGTATTGTTACAGCTTAACACATCAGCAAAGCTCATCACAGTATTATTATATATGATAATGCCTAATATCCATCATAATTTACACATGCCTTTTCTTTACAGTTTAAAATAGATTTTGAAAAGTTTAAAGTAATTATTGGCTTCCTACTCATGCAGATAGAGATGCTATACAATTTTGGTGTCTTCTTGGCGGAAGAAATTTGAGAGATTCATCTCAGATTTAAAAGATCTTTGATATGGGGAATAAGTTATTTCTAAAATAAGTTTAAGTATTTTGTTTCTCTTGAGGCTTGAGGTTGATGGGGTGGGAAGGAGGTGGGAAGAGAGAAGTAAATTGTTTCGGTCAGCAGACAAGGACTGGACTTGACATTGGTTCTAGAGACTAGAGTGTATCCCAAGTGCATAAATTATACCCCAAATTAAATGGATATTGTTTCTTATAAGAGAATTAGTGGCACAAAGTAAAAAGAAAGTAAAAGGGAGAGAGAGAGAGACAGAGAGAGAGAGAAATATATATCGCAAGCAGAGATGCTATTATATTGTGGCATAAAGTCCTCTCCTTCCTGATCCTGCCTGTTTGTACCCTCACCCATCCTCAAATCCCAAACCATCTTAAAGGTTTTAATTTGTGGCTTTTCAAAGTACTCTAAAGTACTAATTTCAAACACTAGAATTTTTTAATTAAAGGATTTTTCTAAATAGACATGCAAAGGAATTTAATTTTTCTGGATGCTTTGTCTCTAAACAATGCTTCCACGCACTCAGAATTCCCGTCAATTCACCCATATGAGACGAGTAAGTCTCGTGCCTTATCTACCTGTTTCCTAGCAAAATTACTGATGCTGTCATAAAAGTGGTAGTTTCTATTATTACCTATGTATTCCAGGCAAAAGTCATAGAGTTTTTTTTTAAACAAATAATCCTAACAATCCTTTAATTAAACATCTCAGTTAAGTGACAAGACCAGAAGCTCAGTGACTTAAGAAACTTGTTATTAAAACCTTATGAAAAACTGGTTTGCCTTCTCCCCTTCATAATGACTACAGTTTACCATTGTAGGTAACTTTTCCCTTCTCTCCCTCCCCTTCCCCACTCCACCCCCTTCACCCCACCAACTCATCCTCCCCTTTCTGGAAAGTTTCTATTATAGAAGTGCAAAGGTTCTTAGAGCTCTAAAGTTATTTAAATATAAACAAGATCAGCAGATGGAAACTGAGTCAACACTTAAGACAAATACTTCCTCATATATTATGCCATCTACTGCGTTTTGTCATTTAAAGGATGATACTCACTTTTATCTTAAAGAGGAAAAGTACTTTAAGACCAGCAAATCTAACTCTGAGCAGAGTTAATTCTGGTACAGCCTCTCTGAAACACACTGTTTCTCATAAACGGCTTCAGTTTCAGGAAGTAGGAATTAAAAAAAAAAAAACAACCAATCCTGTGACTGTCTCAGAATATGGTTGTGTAATTCAATTCCGGGACTTTCAGCAATCTTGCACCATAAGACACACCCCTTTAGGAATTGCTTCGGTGAAAGGTATTCTGGGAGCTGTATTACTACAGAAAAGTTCCTTCTCCTAATGAAAGTGCAAGAAAAACTTATTATTTAGACTAAGAATGGAGAGTCCTCTTAGAGCCAAGAAGAGAGAATGTCAGTAAGAAACAATGAATATGACATTGTTGAAATCTGTTAGCAAAAGACAGATGCACATTAAGGCTTCATTCTGTGCTCTGTCTTAGAAGTGAGCTTGTTATCACAGAGACACATATATTGCTGAACTGGAAAATAAAGTTAGGACTTTTTGGATAGAATATCTGATTAGGCTGACTAGTTTGACAGTGAAAAGTGTCTTATTGAGTTACACAGTGGACATTGTCCTTCCATGGAACAACTGAAATCTGCAACTCGAAATTTTGACAAAAAAATCAAAAGTACCTAAGATTTCTAAATGTCAAAATATATTTTATTGGAAAAGTTATTGACATAAACAATATTTTAATTTTCTCAATCCTTTTTGAGCCTGCTGGGTTAAAGAAGTTTCCTCTAGAGTGAAGGAATAATAGGTTTTATTAATAGTCATTTGATACATTTTGGTAAAGCCTTTGGTATACTTCCTAGAAACTGAGAGAGTGAAGGACTCCAAAAGCTGGGTCATAAATGCTTTGGCAAGTCAATTGTTTACAACAAAATAGGAGGAAATAGTTGAATAGTCAGTTGCTCGATCACTTAAAACACATTTTTTTTGTGTGATAGATCGCTATGTAATGTTTAATATATGACCTTAGAAGTTTAAATAACCAAATGGCATTGCTATAACAAAATTCTATCTCTATTTATTTATGTAAACACAGTTCCTCTCCTCTTCCATGTGTATATTTTTGTGGAATGTTGTTTTATTCCAACTATAAGTAACATTCAGCTGTGAATTAATTTTTTAAAACTCCAGAAATCTTATGGAGAAGTGACACTTGAATAAATTTTATCACTTAATATTCATCAAAACGTACCATTTTATTTTTGTCTTCTTCATCAATTATGAATCAATACTTGTACAATTCAATCTTTAAGAAAGTTTAATACTTAGAGTCTATGGTCACAGAAAACAGAAATGTTTAATTTCTTTTTTCTTTTCTATTTTTTTTTTTTTTTTTGAGATGGAGTTTCGCTCTTGTTGCCCAGGCTGGGGTGCAGTGGCACAATCTCGGCTCGCTGCAGCCTCTGCCTCCTGGGTTCAAACGATTCTCCTGCCTCAGCCTTCCGAGTAGCTGGGATTACAGGTGCCTGCCAGCACGCCCAGCTAATTTTTTGTATTTTTAGTAGAGGTGGGGCTTCACCATGTTGGCCAGGCTGGTCTCGAACTCCTGACCTCAGGTCTGTCTGCCTCGGCCTCCCAAAGCACTGGGATTACAGGTGTGAGCCACCACACCCAGCCAGAAAGGTTTAATTTCAATATATACTTTTTTTGAGAGACATGTTGCCCAGGCTGGAGTGCAGTGGCATGATCTCTGTTCACTGCAACCTCTGCCTCCTGGGTTCAAGCGATTCTCCTGCCTCAGCTTCCCAAGTAACTGGGACTACAGGCACCCGCCACCACGCCCAGCTAATTTTTGTATTTTAGTAGAGACAGGGTTTCACCATATCGGCCAGGCTGGTCTCGAACTCCTGACCTCTGGTGATCTGCCTGCCTTCGCTTCCCAAAGTGCTGGGATTACAGGCTTGAGCCACTGCACCCGGCCTACATATTTTTACTGTAAAGAAATATGACAAAAACTTTCAAGTATATAAACTGTTTTATACTAGGATAAACTTCTATGGATGAAGTGAAATGAAACAGAAGGTTACGGAAATACAGGAATGATATAAAATTTCCAATTGTTAAAAAAGATTTGTACATGTGTCTTTATTTTTAAATTTTTTAAATTTTAAACTTTTTTGAGATAGGGCTGTCACCTGGGCTGGAATGCAGTGGCACAATCACAGCTCACTGCAGCCTTGACCTCCTGGTCTCAAGTGATCCTCCTGCTTCAGCCTCCCAGGTAGCTGGGACCACAGGTGTACACCATCACACCTGGCTAATTTTTGTTTTTGTTTTTTTGTTTGTTTGTTTTTTGTAAAGACAGTGTTTCTCCATGTTGTCCAGACTGGTCTCGAACTCCTGGGCTCAAGTGATCTACCCATCTCAGCCTCCCAAAGTGTTGGGACTATGGGAGTGAGCCACTGCGCCCAGCCTGTACATGCGTTTTTAAATGGATGATGGGGAACATCAAATCACTAGGATATAAAATTTGTGTTGGATACATTTAAAAGAGTAATGTATGAGTTATGTTTATTCAACGTCAGATTTAGACCCTTTGTATCTAAAGTTATAATGAAAGATGAATATCGACTTTATGTGAAGGAATTATTGTCTTTGCAAAATTCTATTTGGGGGTAGGGGAGCAAAAATGTTGGAAATACAGTGTTTAGGATGAAGGGCTGTACATTTCAGAGCCTAAAAAAGGGCACTGTACACCTGAGTATGGAGAGAAAGGCAATGGCACTGATAGAAGAGGAGGGATCTCATAGGAGATATTATCTTTCTTACAGTTTGGACAACAGTCAGATTGTCTTCAACAGGGATTCCTGGTAAGATCCTTAGAGTCATGTAAAACACAAAGACAAAATGGCTCATTTATAATCCAGTGGTGAGTTTTAGTAAGATTTCAAAGATGGAAGTTTCATTACACAAATTTCAACTATTTTAAGTGATTGAGATGTACACCTATATAAGGAATACATTATGACACGCAGGAAAACTGGCTGCAGCATCATACTCATTTTGATTTTCTAGGATTTATCATCTTGAATATAAAATATAAAATGCTGATACAAGCTGACATCATTCGTTCATCTCAATAACATGTTTAGGGAATCTTTTGTGTCAAGTGCTACATTGGTGCTACAGATTCAGACTGTGCACACAAGCAATGCACTTAAGGCAATCACAGTGACTGATGGATTAGTAGTGATGTGGCCAGAAATTAGTTGGAAAAAATTGGCAAGAGTTGGCTCATAATAGGAGGTCTTTGTGTTTCATTTTAAGGAGTTTGGATATTTATATTGACAACATAGAAAATTTGGGCCAGGCGTGGTGGCTCACGCCTGTAATCCCAGCACTCTGAGAGGCCGAGGCGGGCGGATCACGAGGTCAGGAGTTCAAGACCAGCCTGGCCAAGATGGTGAAACCTTGTCTCTACTAAAAATACAAAAATTAGCTGGGCGTGGTGGCGGATGCCTGTAGTCACAGCTACTTGGGAGGCTGAGGCAGAGAATTTCTTGAACCCGGGAGGTGGAGGTTGCAGTGAGGCAAGATTGCGCCACTGCACTCCAGCCTGGGCAACAGAGCAAGACTCCATCTCAAGAAAAAAAAAAACAACAGAAAACAGAAAATTTCAAAGAATGTAAAATCATAAAACTGTTTTAGAAAGAATACTTACTGTTGTGGGAAGGTTGGAGTATGGAGCAAGGTTCATGCAAGGGAGGGATCCTGGTGGTGGGTGGATTAGGAGGCAAGACTGGAATTAGGAAAATGAGTTAGAAGAGTACTGCAGTATTGTAGAGAGAAGTGATGACTAGCCTTAATTAATGGCAGTAGCAATGGAATAAAAAGGAAGGGAAAGAAATATTTAGGAAATAGAATCACAGGCCTGGGTGAGAGACACAGAAATATGGGTAAATGACTTAGAGGCAGTCAAAAAACTATAATTGTAGTTAGATATTACCAAAGGGGAATGTACAGGATAGAAAGAAGGCCACAGAGGTGGAAGTTGGTAATACTGGCATTCACGCAGAAAAAGAGAGATCCATAGAGGAGATGGGTAAAGAACGCTTAGAACAGTAGTAAAAAAACCAAAACAAAGTATATCCTAAAAACAGGACTGGCAAGAGACTTTGCAGGGCCTCTTGTTCAAAAATATTAAGCATTTCAGGTTGATGATAGCCGATATAAGCATGGGACTCTGAGTGCAGGGCCCTATGGATTGCACAGGTCACACACTCAGGAAAGCCTGCTTAAAAGCCAAGTAGATGGAAGTGACAGTGTCAATGAAGTGAAATTGGTCAACAAGAACAAATGATGCAGAGAAGTGAAGTAGGACGAGAACAGAAAAGTGTCCTTTGGCTTGGCAAGTAGGTCAAGGATGGATATAACAAGAACAAATCAGTAAAGCAGTGGCAGAAAGCAGATGATGGACTATTTTAAAAATCCTAGGCCGGGCGCGGTGACTCATGCCTGTAATCCCAGCACTTTGGGAGGCCGAGGCGAGTGGATCACCTGAGGTCAGGAGTTCGAGAACAGCCTGACCAACATGGTGAAACCCCATCTCTACTAAAAATACAAAATTAGCCAGGGGTGGTGGTGGGCACCTGTAGTCCCAGCTACTCAGGAGACTGAGGCAGGAGAATCGCTTGAACCCAGGAGATGGAGATTGCAGTGAGCCGAGATCACACCACTGCACTCCAGCCTGGGCAACAAGAGTGAGATTCCATCTCAAAAACAAACAAACAAACAAACAAACCTAGTAAGATGAATAAGTAGAGTCGGATGAGAATCTTCCAATTGAAGCCTAGATTAAGTAAAATATACAGGTGGTACATACTTTGAGAAGGGGCTATATCCTTCCGAGGGTCCTTCAGCGTTGTAGGAAGATGAGTTCAAGGTCACCTTAACCATTTTAATATGTAATAAACTTGAAGGCCCCAGATATCAGAGAATAGTGACATTTCTATGGGGATAGGAACTAGAATGCCATTCTGGAACTTTCTTTTCAGATTTACATACCTAGTTGACAGCACAATGAGGATAAACACAAAGAGAGAATCAGAAAGATGGACGAGAAAAGAACTTAGTCCAGATATGGCACTTCTCTGAGCCAACTTTTGCTATTTTACTTTATGAGGAAATAAAATCATTGGGTTAAAAATGTATATCTTATGATCCCTCATTAGTGGTTTAAAATGTTGTTCCTTGTTGGGAAGCTAGTAATTCATAGCATGGTGGTTTACACCTGCAATCCTAGCACTTTGGGAGGCTGAGGCTGGTGGATCCCTTGAGTCCAGGAGTTTGAGAACAGCCTGGGCAACGTGGCAAAACTCCATCTCTACAAAAAATACAAAAATTAGCCAGGCAGGTGTAGTCTCAGCTACTTAGGAGGCTGAGGTGGGAGAAGCCAAGGTGGTTGAGGCTGCGGTGAGCCATGATTGTGCCACTGCACTCCAGCCTGAGCAACAGAGAGAGACTCTGTTTCAAAAAATAAAATAAAATAAAAGTTAAAGGAAAAGTACTAACACTTGAAGTATAAAAATATAAATACTTAAATGTAACATTAAAGAAGGGGAGAGGTTTTTTTGTTTGTTGATTTTTACTAAAAATTACACTGACGAGTACTATTTGAGAAAGTTTAGATTCAACAAGGAAAAAATCAAGTTACTCGGTTTGAGGGGAGTATACGACAGGTAGAAATAATGTATTCCCCCAATCAGTTCCTCCCATGCTTGCCTACATGGCCTCAAGCCCTCATAATGAGTGACTGGGGGCTTTAGGCCAGAAAAAGTTGAGGACCCTCATAATTGACTGGGACCCTCTAACAAAAGCAACTATGTTAGCTTTTTAAATTGCGCATAACAGGTTGCTACAAAGTTAGCAGCTTAAAACAGCACTTATTAAACTATCTGTAAAATATATACAAATGAAGATGCATTTTACACATCTATAAATGGTGTCATAACTAGAGCATGGATGTTATATAAGTTTTTTTAATAACTTAGAGGAAAAATGAAGGTTCTATGATATACAAAAAACCAAACAACACTCATTTATTATTTCAAGGTTTCTGTCAGTCAGAAGTCTGGGCACACTTATAGCTGAGAGCACTGCACTTCTTATCTGAGGCTTGGGGTCCTTCGAGGTTTATTCAGGTTTTTGGCAGAATTGCAGTTGTAGCACTGAGGCCCCCATTTTCTTGCTAGCTATTGACTGGGCCACTCTCAGCTCCTAGATGCCACTGGAATTTCCTTGCCATGTGGCCTTCGTAGGCAGCTCCTGCATGGATATTTGCTCCTTCCAGGCCAGCAGGAGCATGTGTCTTTGACTTCATGAAGGGTGAAGTCCTTTTACCTTTAATAACCCACCTGATTAGGCCAGGTGCGGTGGCTCGTGCCTGTAATCCCAGTACTTTGGGGACGCCAAGGCAGGAGGCTCCCCTGAGATCAGGAGTTCAAGACCAGCCTGGCCAACATGGTGAAACCCCACCTTTACCAAGAAATAAAAAAATTAGCCGGGCATGGTAGTATGCTCCTGTAGTTTCAGCTGAGGTGGGAGAATCGCTCGAACCCAGGAGGTGGCGGTTGCAATCAACAGAGATCGCACCACTGCACTCCAGCCTGGATGACAGAATGAGACCCTGTCTCAAAAAAAGAAAACAAAAACAAAAACAAAATCTCACCTGATTAGGCCCAGCCCAGCTGGATCATCTCCCATTTTGTTAACTCAAAGATAACTGATTATAAACCTAATCGCCATAGTGATATTACAACATATTTATAGGTTCTACCTCTTTTCAAGAGGAGATTATACAAATTGTGCATACCAGGGGGTGAAGACCTAGGGAGCCATTTTAGAATTCTGCCTCCCACAGCACCTTTCCCACAACTGCCTCCAGCGTGGGACAGAAATGATGGCCCAAACAGGCTGACTCATTCCTCTCCCTGCACCCTTGAGAGGCCTTGTCTTTAGGGGATCCACTTTTCTCCTCACCATCTGACTGTTTTCTTGAGAGCCTGAATTTTGTTGTAAACCTCCATCATATGAAAAATATTAAGGCTTTAAAGCATTGAGACCTGTCTCTTGGGGGATTTCTCTTACTCGACTCTTCTTTAAAAGTCTGTATGTGTTTGTAACTGTAACACATGAAGATAATTACAAAAAGCCAAACTGTTGGAAAAAGGACACAGTGAGAACTCTCTGCCTGACTCCAGCCTTCTGTCCTCTGTCAGCCATGTTCTCCTCAGAATTAACCAACATTATCCATTCTATCTCCTTGGATAGTTCACATATTTATGTTTTTCCACAAATGCTAGCATTTTTGTTCTGCACTCTGTTTTCTTTAGTAGTGCATCCTTCACACATAGATTTAAAATGCTCATTTTATTTTTCAATTTTTTTTTTTTTTTGAGACAGAGTCTTACTCTGTTGCCCAGACTGGAGTGCAGTGGCATGATCTCTGCTCACTGCAACCTCCACCTCCCACGTTCAAGCGATTCTCATGTCTCAGCTTTCTGAGTAGCTGGGACTACAGGTGCATGCCACCACTTATGGCTAATTTTTGCATTTTTAGTAGAGACAGGGTTTCACCAGTTTGGCCAGGCTGGTCTCAAACTCCTGGCCTCAAGTGATCTGCCTGCCTGCCTTAGCCTCTCAAAGTGCTAGGATTGCAGGTGTGAGCCACTGGGCTCGGCTTTAAGTTGTTAATTTTAATTGTGGTCACTTGACTTCAAGAACAGGGAAGAGGAAGAGATTTGGGCTGCCGCCTGTCCCTCATTTAGGAACTAGTGGAAAACGATTTAGGTCAGCTATCTCAGGTGATTCTAAATGTTTTCACTTGTTAGCAGAGAGCATCCACCATGAGGCGGTGAGACACACTTGAGCTGAACTGCACATAATGTAAACGTCAGGGCCGGACAGGGGAGAGTTAGACAAGTGTGGGTCTCAGGTGCTTAGAACGCCTTGGACAGAAAGCGAGGTCATATAATTCATTTATCAGCAAGTAACACAAACATGCACCTCTTCTTTTTTTTTACATGGTGTGATTGTATTACCACAAATTAGCTGCTTTTATTTTTTATGTTAAATAACATACAGTAGGCGTTTAATGTACATCATCTTAATTATGGGCTAGCAAAAATATCTAAAACTCTTAAGATTCTTGCCACGGAAAAACTTTGTATTTCCAAACAACCAAGTAACTTAATTAGAAATTATATTGACCCATGTCATGGGGATGAGGGATGATGATAACAGGAAGTGATGGCATGCCATCAATTGAATAGGAGAGCCAAGATAAATTTTTACTTTTTTTTTAAACGTTAATACAATTTAGAAATTTCAAATTGTTCAAAGCTGGATCGAAATATAATGGATTATGGGCATTTTATGTTATTTTCAAATTAAATGATGGGTCATTGGTAATTAAAACAGTAAATCCCTCCTTTCTGTATCAATAACACATGCCTACTGTTTTCGTCTATTTTGAATACAATCCTAGCCCAACTTTTAGTATAGTCATTTCCCTGAAGGGTTTCTTGTAATTTTTTCCTGAAAGCATTTATGTTACTTCCTATAACCCCAACACCACTCAGGGCATTTGGTTGTAGCAAGTGAGGTTAACCAAGTTTAAAATCCTGTTGAATTCACAGGAGAGTTTAACTGCATCTGTCTAATTTAAAAGATGTTGGCAGCCCATGAGCAGTTCTATGTGCAAGAGAAAGTTTCACACTTTAAGGCTATGTCAGGATCAGATAATGAATTTATCAAAATGACACGATCACATTGAAACAAAAATATTTTTGTTTTTTGGTTTTTCTTTTCAAAAAGAAAAACCGCAATAAGAGGGCCTCAAAGGTGATTTCCAGCTGCTATGTTCTCATTAGCATATTTGTAACGGTGGCACACAGTGGAAGCCTTACATTTCCTCAGTCTGATGTAACTTTGGCCAAAGTACTTTCAGACTTTAGTAATTTGCTTGTTTTAAGAGAAATAATAGCCTGAGATGAGGATATTTGTATAAACCCCTTCCTGAAATGTCTAGTACCTTTCATTGCATAATTAAAATTCCTATTGTGTTTCTTTAACAGTAAAGACATTTTCGTTATCAAAGAATGATGTTCATGTTTTAAATAATAACTAAAATAATCTCTTCATTAAAAATAATCATTTTTAATGGTTTTATACAAACTGAAACAATAATAAAGCCCATATTACAAATTACTTTGCCTAATTTAGATATGAGTGACTTAAAATTGCTTCTTTTGCAAATGTCCCCTGGTGATTTTCAGAAAACTTAATAAATTGAAAGTACAGAAATAAATAGTCACTTTTTTGGGGGCTCTGGCCTTATTCAAGCTTTTAGAAATTTTCTGGGCCTTTTGTCAGTTTTCAAATTAGAGATTGGAAACTCCAATTCTGATAATACTGTTCTACTGTATGAGTTCACTGACATAATCAGATAGCACGTCTTATCTTCCACCTGCTCTCATGTTCATCAGCTGAGAGAAGGTACCCTGACTGTCACTTCTAGAGAAGAAATAATAAATGTTGATGATTAACAAAATTGCAGCCCTTACGGGAATCTGCCTCACTTGTAAATGTACCCTTCTTTCCCCACAGTCACTGTACTTGATTATACCTAGCTCTGACACAGTTCAAAACTTAACCGCACCCATAGCACCTCTTTATCAGGTGGACATCAGTGTCATTTTATTGCCAGTGAAACTGATCCACAAACAAGCAACTCTCCTGAACTCAAGGACAGAAGACAGACAAGGGGCTTCCACTCATTTCCATCATCAGAATTTGGTTTCCCATGCGAAGAAGTAGGCCGCTGTGATCTCAGCCAAGCCAAGTTTTGTCCTCCTTCCTCTATCTATCCTCAGTCTTCTTTCTCCTTCTATGGCAAGGGTCCCCAACCTCTGGGCCATGGACTGGCAGTGGTCCATGGACTGTTAGGAACCCAGCGGCAAAGCAGGAGGTGTGCTCAGGGCCAGCAAGCGAAGCTTCATCTGTATTTACAGCTGCTAACCGTCACCTGTGTTACTGCCTGAGCTCTGTTTCCTGTCAGATCACTGGGGCATTAGATTCTTATAGGAGCAGGAACCCTGCACATGGGAGGGATCTAGGTTGCCCGCTTCTTATGAGAATCTAATGCCTGATGATCTGTCACTGTCTCCCATCACCCCCAAATGTGTCCGTCTAGTTGCATGAAAACAAGCTCAGGACTTCCACTGATTCGACATTATGGTGAGTTGTATAATTATCTCATTATATATTACAATGCAATAATAATAGAAATAAAGTGCACAATAAATGAAATGGGCTTGAATCATCCTGAAACCATCTCCCGTGGCCCCAACCCCAGTCTGTGGAAAAAGTCTTCCATGACACTGGTTCCCAACAGGGATTGCTGGTCTCTACAGTGTCTATCCTCTCTCTCTCTTTTTCTTTAAACAGAGTCTCACTCTGTTGCCCAGACTGGCGTGCAATGGCGCCATCCCGGCCTCACTGCAACCTCTGCCTCCCGGATTCAAGTGATTCTCCTGCCTCAGCCTCCCGAGTAGTTGGGATTACAGGCACCCACCACCAAGCCCAACTAACTTTTGTATTTTTAGTAGAGATGGAATTTCGTCATGTTGGCCAGGCTGGTCTCAAACTCCTGGCCTCGTGATCCGCCCACCTCGGCCTCCCAAAGTGCTGGGATTACAGGTTTGAGCCACGGCACCCGGGTCTATCCTCTCTTGACACCTACTCTCCTTAGGTTCTTCACACTTAGGTGATTCCAAATCTTTTCACTGAGGCAGAAAGGTAGCATTACCTTCTTCTAAGCTATAAAGGACTCCTGAGAGGTGTTTCCCATTTCATCATGTACCAGCTTTTACTTGTGGACTCTGGATGTCCATTACGATGCAAGCGGCAGGAGAGAAAGCGACTGGACTGCTCTGCTGGGTGTAAGGCGAGGGCAACCTGGAGCAAGTTCAAATCCCGCCTCTGCGGGAGGCAGAGGTTGCAGTGAGCCGAGATGGCGCCACTGCACTCCAGCATGGGCGACACGGTGAGACTCGTCTCAAAAAAAGAAAAAAAGAAAAAAAAAATTCCACTTCTGCTCGCCACACTCCACCATTCTCTGAGCCTCGGTTTACTCATGTGTAAGGGGGACTGCGATGATTAGAGGAGCTCGTGCATGCCACGCACTGGCTTGCTTGGTATCCTTGGAGTCACCGAAAGATTAGTTCAGCTCCCCGCCTGCCCACGCCCTGGGGCAACACTCATTTTGGGGAAAAGTCCTCCTTAATGCTGAAGTGATCCAGTTCCCTTCTTTTCTCTAGCTCGCCAATCGGGCTGGAGGAGAGGCCACTCGTTTGGGAAGGCGCGGTCCGGGTCGGTGTACCGCGCACCAAACCCTGCCAGAGAACTGAGAGAGGCGGCCAGGGGGCTGGGTACCTGGTGAGAAAGGCGCCAGCTGCCGGGTCACCTCGAGAGGAAGGAAGGGGCGGGAGCGCGAGTGGAGCGGGCGGAGCCTGAAAACCTCCGCGCCACCGCTGCGCTCTTTACAAAGGCCCCGGGCGCGAGAGGACGTGCTCTGCCAGCCAGTGGGAAGGCAGGCCGCGCGCGCGGGAGCGCGGGAGGATCGGCGGCTCGCGGTCACTGGTCCCTGGCTCGGTTCCCCGCACCCCGGGGCTCACACTTACCCGCGCGGAGGAGCAGCGGCCGGGTGTCCACCCCCATCCTGCGCCCAGTCTCCTCGATTCCCCTCGCTCTGAGCCGGGAGAGCCGAACAGCTGAAGAGAGTTCACTGACTCCCCAGCCCCAGGTACTTGCGGGGCGGCGGGCTGGGGGTGAGGTGGGGACTGGCCCTTTTCTGTTTATCCCGCAAAGACAGCAGCTTTGTCCAGGAGATTTTGGGGGTGTCGGATCGGAAGTCATCCCCCGCTGCTCCTGCTCACCTGGCACACGCTCACCATATGCTAAGGAAAGCCTGCAAAAATTATAGACAGCACCTCCCTGTTTTATAAAATATGAGAATATTTACATAAATGAGGAAACATTGGAGATGGGGGTGTGTTTTCTCTGTACTTTGGTATTCTTTTCAACGTTTTTCTAATCAGAAAACAAAAACGAATGCCATTTATGCAGTGTGGCTCCAGAGCAGTTGTGCGTGACCCCCCTCCCCCGCTTGCCAACTGCTACGGCCCCACGCTCTCGGTGGCCAAGCGAGACCTTTCTGAGGGGCCCTGGGCTCCCTGGAGTGCCGAGGTCCTTGGTCCTAGACCTGACTCCTTGCTTCAGTCTGGTTCATGAGAGAAATATAGTAATCCGTTGTTTTCTGGGACTTTCCCCAGATTTCAGATTGAAAGGTGGAATTTCCCAAATCCTCTGAAGCCAAAATCCACACTGAGCCTCACTGCGGATTTCCGCAGCCACCAGGAAGTGGGACTGGACCCCAGGTCAGGCCAGTCAAGTAGAGTGGGAGAAAGAAAATCTCATGTCTGAAAGACACCGAGCTTTCCTAAGGGTTTCCTCCTGCTGTTTGGTTTTCACTTTTTTTTTTTTTTTTTGATTCTTTGTTTTTGCAAGACCTGTGGTTTTAGTATTAATTCTGCCAAACAGCTGTGCCAGAGTTCACAAATATCTTCAGAGCCACACTTCAGGGTGATCCTGTTGAGCAGGGTTAGACAGGAGGATAACTTGGTCCTTTGCTCTGCTTCCAAGTTTCTGTTCCCCTCCTGTGTGCTCAGTGTTCGGTATTCGTTAGGGAGAAAAGCCTTGAAACTTCCTACTTGCAACCACCCAAAGACATACTCTTTCTTGAGAATATATTCAGGGGGAACTGGGGAGGCGAGGGGGTTGGGGGGAAATGAAAGTAAACATTTTCACCATCCAGAGCAGACCCCATTAGTTTGGTCAATCCTGTTTTAAAAAATAGACTTCTTAAAGCATGAGAAATCTGGTTGGCATGCATGACCACCCAGGGGTGCCAAGCTTTCTGTTAAACTGCTTAGACATCTGGGTCCTTGTAGCGAAAATATTTCTGTATATGTTTTTGTTTATGGCATTTTAAGGCCGAACACCCTTTGGCAAGGAGAGGTGGTATGTCTCTTCACGGGCTTTGCAGGACCTTAGTGAGTGTGTGTGTACGTGTGTGTGTGTGTGTGTGTGTGTTGTGTTGCAGGGAGGGTAGCAGAGGTGGAGGTGCTGTTTTTGCACATAGCACCTCTACACGTATCCATTCTTCTTTCCCCAGAGAGGAGTCAGAAGCCTTGCCCTCGATCTAACTCTTCTCTTCCCAACTCTAAGCCTCCCAGGTTAAGTGTATACATCCTGATGTCCAGCACAGAAGAGCTGGACACTCAAGATGCAGCATCTATGCCTTCTGTATTCAGCTTTCAGAGACAGAGTTCCCAACTGCAGTGCTTATTTTTATTTCTATATTTATTGTATTTCCTTTGTTAACACAGATATTATTGTTTGTCAGATATTAATCAGTGTTTTACAACTTTTCCATGTCAGATATCACAGTTTACCCCTTTAATAATACTTTGCTAATCTCCAACCACTGTCAATTCCATAAAAATCAGAGGTTGGTGATTTTGTAAGGAAAATATTTGTTAAGTGTTTGAATAGATATTGAAGTGCACATGGTATAAAATTCCAAAGGTGTAGAGTGTGTGTGCAGTGGAGAGTAAGTCTCCTTCCTATCCTGGGCCCCCAGTTTCTGTCTCCAGAGGTAACCATTGTTATCACTATATAAAATCATTGTTGCCCTGTTTCTTTGATAACTTACGACTAACAGATTTCAAAATGCTGTTTTGAGCAAATGTGCACCAATGATTTTTTAAAATCTAACAATTTTAACTATATTATTTTAATTGTCAGCTTCTGTCTTTCCTGTTTTTCTGCTGACCACTCTGAAATGTCAGAGTGTTCAGGTCACTTTGTAGAGGGACTCTGTGGCTTTGAGGATAAACAAATAGATTCATTTCTAAGTTCCTTGAGGTCAGAGATCAACATGGTCTCCAAACAACCTGCCACAATTACCGATGAGTACTAGGTCCATGCTAACATTTATACACCCAGGCTTACTGATACCCAGGTTACTGATATTCACCGTAACCTGGTGCTTCAGAGCCTGTTCCTCCTATGAGGTAGCACTAATGGTGTATTTCCCTCCCCAGTATTAGATTCTTGTTTGGTGCCTTGCTGGTTGTAGCCCACACACATTTATGTCCCCCTTCTCTACAGGTTAACTGCTAAAGTTTGTGAAGTAGCTGGTAACCAGGGAGGCAGTGTTTGTAATGGTTAAGAGAGGATGCATTGGAGTTTGAGTCCTGTCTCTGACATTGGATTTATGATCTGGGCTGGTTTTTAAACCCTCTGAGATTCAGCTCCCTTATCAGTGAAGCAGTGATTCACAGGGTTATTTTGAAGATTAGATGACCTGTTGTCACCAAAAAGTAGGTTAGTTGCCCGCTGCATGCAGAGTCCAATTAACAAGAGTGAGGTCTGGTACAAAAAAAAAGTGAATTCCTAAGCTAGCTTGGAGAAGGGGGCACAAAACGTCCTGCCTTTATCCACACCCAGAATGTGCTGCTTCACTTTTGGAGCAGAAAGTGGGCCTCTTTTATAAAGTAGGGTGGGAAGTGAGCCAGAGCAGGGGGTCCCCCGCTTCCCTGGTGCTTTATCTACCAGACAGTTGAGTTGACACCTTCCTGGGCAGAAATATAAGTTATATAAGTGGCCAAGTGGGCATACTCTCACCATGCCCTCCTAGTAGGTGTGAGTTCAGAGGCCACCCCCTGGAGGTGAGAGTTCTGTGGGGACATGCTTTGGTCTGCAAATCGACTGTCAACTCTCCAGGAGAGATCAAAGTTAAGGTTGTCTTGGAGCACATAGTTAGATATACTTGCCCTGTAGGGAATTTCTGGTCAGGAAAGGTGAATGGTTACATTTGCATTTCTGAAGGTCTAAGTAGGAAGTGGGGCACAGGGAAAAGAGAAAATAATTAAAAAAATTAAACTATGACTTAGAAAAGTGGAGGTACTTGGTTACAGTGTATCAGGGTATCAGCAGTCTGCCTGGCACATGAAAGGCATGAAATAAGTAATAGCCCTTATTCCTGTCTGTATTAGTTTGTTCTCACACTGCTAATAAAGACATACCTGAGACCGGGTAATTTATACAGGAAAGAGATTTAATGGACTCACAGTTCCACATGGCTGGGGAAGCCTCACAATCATGGCAGAAGGCAAGGAGGAGCAAGTCACATCTTACATGGATGGCAGCAGGCAAAGAGAGAGCCTGTGCATGGAAACTCCCCCTTATAAAACCATCAGATCTTGTGATACTTATTCACTATCACAAGAACAGCATGGGAAAGACCTATCCCCATGATTCAATTACCTCCTATCAGGTCCCTTCCACAACATGTGGGACTCGTGGGAGCTATAATTCAAGATGAGATTGGGGTGGGGACACAGCCAAACCATATCACTGTCAGAGTTTGCTGTGGTTTTATACCTTCATAAGATAGGTGAATGCATCCATCAGCTCAGGCTCTGATATAGTGCAGTAACAAATGACCTAAAAAATCTCAGTGGCTTATTGGAAGAAGGGTTGGTTTTTTTGCTAATATTAACTGTCCTTTATGTATCTGTCTTCGGCTCTTCCCTCTGGGACCCAGACTGAGCTGCTCCTTGTGGGAACTGCTGATGTTTTGACAAAAGAAAGAGGGAAGGTGGAACTACACAGTGGCTTTTAAGTTTCTGCTTGGAAGTAAGTCACTGCCATTCATGTTTCATTGACATGGTTGTTAATGAAGTGGATCATCATTTTAAAGGGGCAGAACTGGTAGGGACAGGCCTGCAAGGATGGGGTAGCAAATATTTGACACTAAAGCAGTCTGCCTCAGTGTTTGTTGGATGGAGTCACAATTGTGAACCCAGAGATTCATCAAACCCAGACAATTGATCTGCCCCAAGACACTCATAGCCACTGATGTATAAACCAGAATGCCATTTTTTCTCTCTAACAGTGGATAATATATCTGTCCTGGGGACTGAGTATAAGAACCTATATGGGGTAAGCTTTTCTTGTGGTTGATTTGCTCAGAAGACTGAATTATAAAGTAATAGCTTATATAAAGCATACAAAAACAAAATTTGGATGTTACCAAAAGACTATTTAGATCCAGAATACACCATGGTTTTTAATACAGTTCTCCTTTTGGAATTCTTATCGCCTGAAGTCCAAGAATGAACTAAATTGATGGCAGCATATTGTAAATAAAGCTGGAGATCACTTACAGATTTCTGACACTTCTTTTCAGGCTCTTGTTAATAGCAAATGCTTTTCTTGTCGACTGCTAATGCATCATCCCATGACTTATAATTATTCTTTTATGCTGTCTGCTTCCTGAATAATGAGACTTTATTATCATAATTATAGTGTCTTCAAATCACAGTGTAATATGGATTAACCAGTTTTACCCATTGTGTGTTAATTCTTGCTGACTTTGGCTTCATAGTAAGTTTTACCACCCCTAGCACAGGATTTTGAGGATTTTTCTCAGTTTTTCTGCTTATAGCTGGACATCTGTGGCCTGCTTGGGTAGAGCAATATGATGCAATAATGTTCAAAAATATATTATGAAAATAAAATTGAAGATGCATTTTCAAATCAATAGAAAAGAAATATTGCTTAGCTATGTCATTTGTTGGATAATTGAATAAATTGAGAGTTTGATTCCCAGCAGCAAAACTTTGTAAAACAGAAGGAAAGATTATATTTTAAAAGTAAATAGCAGGGCTGGGAACGGTGGCTCATGCCTGTAATCCTAGCACTTTGAGAGACCGAGGGTGGGTGGATTGCCTAAGCTCAGGAGTTTGAGAGCAGCCTGGGCATCATGGTAAAACCCTGTCTCTACTAAAATATGAAAAATTAGCTGGGAGTGGTGGCGCACACTTGTAGTCCCACCTACTCGGGAGGCTGAGACAGGAGAATTGCTTGAACCTGGGAGGCAGAGGTTGCAGTGAGCCAAGATCACGCCACTGCACACTGCACTCCAGTGACAGCAAGACGCTGTCTCCAAAAAAAAAAAAAAAAAAAAAAAAGGAAATGCCAGCAAGATAGAAAGGGAAAGAAAATATTCTTTCTGGTTTTTGTTTTTTATATTTCAAACCAGCATAATTTTGATGCCAACATCTAATATAGATGGCAAACAAAAAACAATAAAACTACAAATCAATCTCACTTAAGACTGATTATCTCCAAACCCCAAATCAGTATAAGCAGACAGTGTCCGGTAGCTGCAGCAAGGGAGAGTCATCCAAGGAATGCAGGCGGCACTCAGCATCTCTCTGGGTACTGGTGTAACTTCTCGCCGTGCTACAGTTACAGAATTCTGTGCAGCTGTTAAAGAATGAGGTATATTTGTAAGTGTAGATATGGGAAAATTATCACCCATATGTATTATTAATTGAAAAATTGGTCAGGCATAGTGGCTCACGCCTGTAATCCCAGCACTTTTGGGAGGGCGAGGCGGGTGAATCACCTGAGCTCAGGAGTTTTGAGAGCAGCTTGGCTAACATGGCAAAACTCCGTCTCTACTAAAAATACAAAAATTAGCCGGGTGTGGTGGTGCGTTTCTGTAATCCCGGCTACTCAGGAGGTTGAGGCAGGAGAATTGCTTGAACCCGGGAGGTGGAGTTTGCAGTGAGCTGAGATTGCGCCATTGCACTCCAGCCTGGGCGACAGAGACCTGTCTCAAAAAAAAAAAAAGAGGAACAAAGAAAGGTTCAGAACTAAATATAGCATGTTTCTATTTGTGTAAGAAATTTTTTTCTCTGTGGAGAAATGTGCTCGTATGTGTGTTTGTGTGTGTGAGAGTGCACACATATAGTTATGCTGGTTATGTAAACAAAATTTCTCTAAGGATAAAAGTAGCTTTTACAGTGGTTGTACTCTAGGAGAGAAAGACAAAGAGTTCAGGTGGGGGAGAAATACTCTTTTTTTTAAATCCTTTGTTAGTGTTTGAATTTTAAAATCATGTACATGTACTTTTAAAAAATTAGTTTTAAAATGGCAATTCTCTGTTGAAGTAACTTCACAAAAATTTTAGTAGCTATTTCTCCTGTCCTGTTATACTGCTTTTAAGTACTGTACTAATTACCAAAGATATATGAAGTGAAGTGTAGGTGGAGGGCACCTCGGGCCATCGGCTCTCAAGGGATGTGGTTAACAACAGTTGGACTGTGCTATTTGTAGTTAATGACAGTTTGTCCATCCAGTCATTGAGTACCACTGACAAAAATAAATAATTCTGATACCAGTGCAGGCTGTGATAATTAGAACCAACTCATGGAGACTTATATTCTTAAAAGTAATGTCTAAAATTTGAAATTATAGAATAAAATAACCATTTAAAGCATTTACTATTTTTAATCATTTACCTGTTAGAAATCAAAGTGAGGATATAAAGGATAAATGTTACAATTGTTTGTTTATAACTATTAAGTTTTTTTCTTTAACCAGGTTTCACAATTCATAATATATTTAATTATAATCCAGTTAATAAACTATGTTTGCTTTATGTATATATCCTCTGAAGGTATTCAAACCAAAGAGATTTTTTATTTCCTAATTTTCTTTTTAAAGTACACCTGTCATATTTTCTCTGGGCTCAAGTCACTCTATTTAGGTGAAAGAGGAACTGAGGTTTCTTTATGCTTCCCTCAAATCATTTTATTATCAAAAATCATTCTTTGTTATTGTCTGCATTTTATGTATGGTGTTATAGTCAAACTAGAAATGAAAAAGATAGGAGAAGCTAGTGTAGCAATTTTATAGGGCTTGGTATAAGATTTCACATATCTACTAGTTCACTGAAAGTATTGTCTATGTACTGTTTTCTTAAAGTCCAGATAAATTGCCTATCAGATGATGTTCATCAAAACGTTAGAATCAAAGTTCTCAATGCCTCAAGCATAAGCAGAAACTAACATGGTAATTTAATTATTGCAGGTGGGCCTTGTGCACATCATGACCAGTTTTGAAGATGCTGACACAGAAGAGACAGTAACTTGTCTCCAGATGACGGTTTACCATCCTGGCCAGTTGCAGTGTGGAATATTTCAGTCAATAAGTTTTAACAGAGAGAAACTCCCTTCCAGCGAAGTGGTGAAATTTGGCCGAAATTCCAACATCTGTCATTATACTTTTCAGGACAAACAGGTTTCCCGAGTTCAGTTTTCTCTGCAGCTGTTTAAAAAATTCAACAGCTCAGTTCTCTCCTTTGAAATAAAAAATATGAGTAAAAAGACCAATCTGATCGTGGACAGCAGAGAGCTGGGCTACCTAAATAAAATGGACCTGCCATACAGGTGCATGGTCAGATTCGGAGAGTATCAGTTTCTGATGGAGAAGGAAGATGGCGAGTCATTGGAATTTTTTGAGACTCAATTTATTTTATCTCCAAGATCACTCTTGCAAGAAAACAACTGGCCACCACACAGGCCCATACCGGAGTATGGCACTTATTCGCTCTGCTCCTCCCAAAGCAGTTCTCCGACAGAAATGGATGAAAATGAGTCATGAACACAGAAAGTCTAAGAGGAGAAATATGATGGATGAAGAGCTCTGTAGATGCTGTATAGACACTAAATAAGAGTTGATTAGGGTAGTATATTATAGTCATCTGTTATGCTGTGAAATTTGGAATTCAGTATTATCATTTTGAAGTCTGTAAATTGTGTTAGTCATTAACTTAGTCACCTGTTGTATTCTGGATCTACACAAAATTATTTTAACTGCTCTTATTAATCTGTGAGGATTAATATACAAAAAGTATCCTTTGAGATGAAGTCGTGTTCTCAAAATAAGGTTATATTATTTTCTTTTTCTGCTTGATTTTCATCTTGTGTTTTGCTTTGTTTTTGTAAGGAACCATCTCTTGGTTTGGTCACATCAGTTCACAACAGCCATTTGTTTTCAAGGTCAAGGCTCCAGGCAGGTTGTTACTGGTGTTTGCAGCCTGTCAGTACTTGCAGTACTGGAATAGGTTCTAGGCTAGTGTCTGCGCGTCACTGTGGTTTTAGCATGGGAGGACTTATTTGAGAAATACTACCTTACTTTTCTATGATTTCTTTTTACAGAGTTATAGTGTGTTTACTCCTAAGATGACAGTTCTCTTTGTCTATATTCAGCATCTAAGACAAATATTTAAACATTTTAAAGAACCACTGTGTTAAGTTTAGGATTATTTACTTACCAAATTAGAAGTTTGACTTTTATGTGTTATACACAATCTTAAAATTTCACGAATTCACCTTTTTAATAGTATCCATGTACATAATAAAATCAAAGTTTAATTAGCCATTTTCTTTGAATTTTTTTCTAAATAAGGGAAATAACTGTTCTTGGGCCACTTTACAGAGATAAATGTATGTGAATGTTTATGATAAACGCTTAAATATTTCTAAAATATTAACTTCAAAAAAGTCTTTTTCAGTTCTTAAATAAAAATTTATTTATTTAAGATACTTATTCGACTTATCTTAACTAAGGTAGCTATGAATGTTAAGTAGATGAGGTAACCATTCAGTTAAGTTAAATTGTAGCATTGCCAGGTAGTGAGGCTCACTGTACAATTTTCCAGGTAAATGAAATTTCCTGTAGTAAGAGGTCCGTATTTTTGTAACAGCCTTTTAAAAATGCTTTTGGGAACCCTCCAGCCTCTTACCAAAAGAGGCTTTAAACCTCATCTTGATTCAGACTGTCAGTCTATTCCTGGGCAGTAGTATGTGATGTCCAGCACCCTAACCCCGACTCCCCAGCCCTGGGACTATTCCAGTAGAGTGAAATATTTGTCCCTGTACAAAGTGGCCTGAATGACTGTTGGAGTTCCTGTGTCTGGTTTTCCTGTTTATTCCCTGTGATGCCCAGAGTAATGGCCCATCCAAAGATGTCCAGATGTCCATGTGCTAGTCTCCAGAACTTGTAACTGTGTTGTTATGTGGCAAAGGGGAATGAAGGCTGCAGATGGAAGTAAAATAGATTATGCTGGATTATCTGGGTGTGCCCAATTGATCACCGGATCCGTAAAAGTGGAAGAGAGGCAGATCAGGATGTCAGCGTGATGAGGTGTGAGACAGACTTGACTTGCTGTTGCTGGGAGGAAGGGGAGGTCATGAGCCAAGGAATGTGGACAGTCTCTTGAAGCTGGAAAGTGTGCATTGGACATCTGGAAGCCAGAAAAGACAAAGAAATATCCAGAAAGGAACAAAGTCTTGTGGACACCTTGATTTTGGTCCAGTGAGAATATGTTTGACTTGTTAACCTACAAAACTTTATGATGATAAATTTGTGTTGGTCGTAAGCCACTAAATCACAGTAATTTGTTATAGCAGCAGATAGAAAACTAATATACTCCCTTTAATATAAGGTTATCTACTATTGATTCTTTCTAGGATTTTAGCTTCTGGTCTGATGTGGGTTTACAGCCAGATCACCCGGCTTGAATTGCTTACAGTGTGTAGTCTCATGGTAAAGGCGTTCTATGAGTGAAGTGTATATACTTTAATGTGTGTATACTGTCACATTTTGACTATTTTGGAAGACTTTCACCTCTGTTTCTTGTCTTTGAGGCTGATGAATGTGTTTCTAAGTTATAAATTTAATATTAAGGGATTCATGTATTATTGTTATTGAATCCAAACAATGTGTTAAGTAATATTTAGGGCCAGAAAAATCTTGTACAGAATAATGATTTCTCCTAATGTAAATCTTGGAAAGGGTTTTGTTCAACTTGAGAAATATTAAATTTTTTATTCTATTTTCTTTTCTTCAAAGATTGGCAAAGGAGAGAGTGGGTTGCTAAAAGTTTATATTGTTCTCCAAAGAATAGAAACACTTTCCATAGCCCAACTCCGGTAGTAAATAATAATGAACGCTTTAATAATGAAAGAGCAATTGGTTAGTATTAGAATTGTTTTGATTACAAAGTTAGCATCTCTGCCTGAGCTACCCAACCCCAAAGCGGGGTTGTTAGAGGAAAGCTACCATATTTCATAGAACCGAGGAAGGAATGCAGCAGACCTCAGGTGAGATTCGAATGCTCTGGCTCTGACCCTCAATGCATATTGGCTCCATGGCCACCTGTAGCTCCCAAGTTTTACACGTTATTGATCCCCCAAAGAGACCTGATCTCTTGATTTCAGTTCCAGGGACGGGTCAGCTTGGGTCAGGTGCCCACCCCTTCACCAATCAACTTGTCTCAGGTAACGCAGTCACATTATATAATGGCTGCTCTGGTCAGTGATCATGTGGATAGATACAGCATTTTCTCAAAAAAATGGTCACAGGGGTGGGGGTGGGGCAAACAAAAATATTGGTGTTTGATACAAGGTACTGAAGCTAAGATGTGAAACCTTCCATATACACTTTAAGGACTTCTTTGTCCCTGGAAAGTGATTTTTCTGGGGCTCCTTAGGTAGAGAGGTGTATTAATGGTGCCAGTGTTAGAATCCTTGGCAGTCTCTTCTTGAACCTGCAACTCCAGTGGTTAAATCTCATAGGCCATATAACCATTTTCTAGAGAATTCTGTTCCTACTATCTAATGCAGTAACTGACTTAAAAGTAAGTATTACTGTTAGACTCTAACATAAGTGGTGGTATTTGTTTTAATGGAGGTGGGATCAGGTATGTGTTCACTTAAGCTTTACATTAAAAAAAAATTTATATGTGTAAATAAATATATATGCCTTGTAGAAAAATTAGCCATAATCTTACTACCAGAAGAGAACTACTGTTAACTTTGTGTGTGTGTATATGTGGTGGATGGTTTTATGTTACCTCCTGGCTCTTTTTATGTTTCCAATTCTCTAACACTTGTTTAATTAATTACTTATATTATTAAGATAACAGGCTTTGTTATTATTTTACTAAGTGGACCATGATTGAAACTATCAGTCTCCATTTCAGGTGGTGACCAAGATGAGCCCTACGACAAGTGGGTGGAATTTAATAGGTTTCTAGTTGGTATGGGTTGTCCTCAGATCCAACCTATTCAACCTACATGAAAATACTTATTTGTCCTTTACCTCTTAAGCAATGAACTTAGGGCTGGGAGCACTGGTGAAGAAACTGGGATGGCATTAGGTTCAGCTCTGTTGCTGGTTTCATAATTTTGTTGCTGATGGAAGGCTACCAAGGGACTAGAGATGAACCAGTTTGGCCCTGCTTAGTGGCAACAGTAAAATAACTGCTTGAAGGCCCAAATCAAGACAGTGACTTTTTTTTTTTTTTTTAGACTACTCAAGTGCAGTAGTCAGAAGGGGGGAAAAGAGTAGAACAAGAAATTCAATCTGTAACTGACTATGAACAATCAACTGAGCTAATTCAACAGTGACATTTTAAAACAGAAAACTTCTGAGATTAGACAGTCACAATAAGGTGTGACAATGAAATTTCCCCTTAGTTCACAGTACCTTTTTATAATAATATCACTTTCGGCATCTTGAAAGTTTTTTAATCCTTCAAAGTTAGGTTAGACACATTCTTTTTTTTTTTGAGTCAGAGTTTCGCTCTTGTTGCCCAGGCTAGAGTGCAATGGCGCGATCTCGGCTCACTACAACCTCTGCCTCCCGGGTTCAAGCAATTCTCCTGCCTCAGCCTCCAGAGTAGCTAGGATTACAGGCATGCTCCACCACGCCTGGCTAATTTTGTATTTTTAGTAGAGATGGGATTTCTCCGTGTTGGTCAGGCTGCTCTTGAACTCCTGACCTCAGGTGATCTGCCTGTCTTGGCCTCCCAAAGTGCTGGGATTACAGGCATGAGCCACCGCACCCGCCCAGGTTAGACACATTCTTTTTAATAGCTAAGCAAAAAAATCCCCTGAAGCCCCCAAAACTCTGAAAACAATACTGACCTAATTTCTACCGGAAAGAATTGTACAGTGTTGAGTGTGGGCTCTGAGTCATACTGCTTGGGTTTATCTACCATTCCTGTAATTTGACATAACTCAGATTCCTTTTTTGAAAAACAAGGATTAAATAGTGCCTCCTTCATAGGGTCTCTGTGAATATCAGAGATAAAGTATGTAGTCTCCTTACCACAGCATTTACACACAGTACCTGCTCCTCTGAGTAGCATGGGGCAGAGTTAGGTCCTCATTTTTAATGGTCTCATATAAGATTTCTGAACTACAGAGGACATTACTATATCTGGGTAGGAGGAAATAAATCTTTAAATTTGAAATAATAATATACAATTTTAAATATCATTTTCCAAATTTAATTTCATTTTCACCTTTAATATTTCCTAAGGATTCAAGAATCAGATGCAGGGATTCTGTTTCTCTCCATTTTTATTGTTATTGTTGTTGTTGTTTTACATTTAGGATTTCAATGTGGAATCTCAGATTTCTTTTGTGAACTCCTTTACTGTCAGACAATTAACCAGAAATACCAAATAAATGAAGATGGGAAAACACTACATATTTAACATAAAATCTTTTTTAGATGTCTGTATTCTCAAGAAATTATGATTAGGACATGTTTACATAGTTAAACGAAACCTCTGGCCTCTGCTAGAAAAATATATTTATCTATTGAAAAAAAAGCGGGCATAATTCCAAAATATATCATTTCAAAAGTTCTAGTGTTACCAGTGGTGAGTATGGGCACGCTCCATAGTCCTTGATCTTTGTCTTCTTGGGAGAAAGAATTCAGCCAAGAGACAGAATTATATTTAAGGCAGAAACAAGAGTTTATTGAAGCAAAAAAAAGTACACTTGGATGGAACGAAGGGGGACGTCAAAAGATTGAGTACCCAGCTTGACCTTTGTCTTAGGGCTCTTAGAGATTTATTATTTCCTATTTTTTTCCCCATCTCTTCCCTCCCTGTATGTGCAGTGGTTTGCCAGTATCTGGAAGGGCCTTTTGGTGATTGAAGTTATGCACATGCTCTCTTAGGGCAATTTTCCCTTACTGGGCTAGCACTCCCGGCCAAGCCCCATGGGAAGGTCATATATTTGTCAAACTCTGTCATTTTGCCCCTTACTGCGCATGTCTGGTCATGCCCCCAGAGGAAGGCCAAACTCTGCCATCTTAAATTCTTATTGGGAAGTTGTTGCCCATGAGCTCAAGATGTCTCCTGTTAGATTTTCCCTTCCCTGTCACCAGCCCTCACAGTCTTTGTGGCGCTGTCCTGCCCTGTTCATATCTGCCTATCTACTCTAAAGCTAGTATCTTTTAAATAAAAACCCTTCTATAACTCCACATCCCCTTCCAGCTACCCCATTTCTCTGCTCTCTTTTCAAATTGTCTGCATTAGCTGTTCTTTATTCTTCATCCCCAACTCCCCAGTTTCCATCCCTTCATTTGTGTAACTGTCTCCAAATGCAACTAAAGCAGCGGACCTCTTTTCAAAGCATTTGCTATTGTTGAGCCCTCTTATTTCCTGGCTCCTGTGACACTATTCTCTGGTTCCTGCATTCCTCCTGTATCTGTTTCTTTTGACGACTGTTTCACTACCCCCAACTTCTAAATGTCAACACTTAGTGGGGCTTTTCTGCCTATGTGCTCCCCTGGGGTGAACTCAGCTGGTTTAATGACTTAAAATACCATTTTCCTACTAATGACTCCCAAACTTGAACCTAGACCTCTTTCTTGGGCTGCAGACATATATCCCATCACCTACTTGACATCTTCATCCAAATATCTTATGAACACCTCAAAGTTAACTTTTCAAATAGAACTCTTTCATTTTCCCCACTTTCCCAAACCTGTTCCTCCCATTACACTGAAGTCAAATCAGAACCAAGAAGTTATAGTTAAGGGCACTTGCAGCTACTAGGCTGGCTGTCAGACATCTATAGATTTGGCCAGTAGGGAGACAATGAGTCCAAATAGATTGAGACAGTTTATTATTTACACAGACAGCAAAAGCAGTATCAGGATGGAGTCAGCTCCCTGTATACCTGGTCCTTAGGGACATCCCTGGATGACACTGAACCAAGGGGACAAGATGACAGATGACAAGTAGAAATAGCTCTGTTGAGGAGCCAACTCTAAACTATAGCTAAACATTTTTATAGTCGGTATCTGCACCTGAATGAGAGTGAGGTCACTGGAAACCAGCTGGATGAGAAATTGCCTCACGGCAGCCTTTTGCAAGACAGGGAGGTATTTTGCAAGATAAATGGCCCTTTGACAGCTCCTTTACGATGGCCTATCTTGCCATGGAGGATCCAGAGAGGATCACGATGTTTTCTACCAAGACCTGTGTCAGACTGTGGTTGAGTTTTGCCTACGTGGACTATGTGCAGTGAGCAAGGTAGCCACGGCACCATGCCAGATGTGTTACCCCTACAGTAGTATCTGATTCTACCCCTTCCTTTAGTCTTATATCCAACCCATCAGAAAATCCTGATGATTCTACCTCTAAAACAAATCTGCTCTGCCTTTTCACAGCCATTGTAAACCCAAGGCACACTATATTCCATTGGGAGTGCTATATATCCACTCTTGCCTTCTTACAATCCATTCTCTACACAGCAACTAAAGCAATCGTTTGAAAATGTGTATATGATGACTGTACATCCTTGCTTACAAAAAATTTCAGTGGCTTTCTATTACACATCAAATAAAACTCATTCTTGGTCTACAAGGTCTTGCATCATCTGGCCCTTAACTACCACTCCAGTATCATCTCATACCACTCTTCCCCCTCACTCATGATGCTTCATTCCCAGTGGTCTTTTTATTCACAGAACATAACAAACTCTTTCCCACCTCAGGTACTTTGTACTTGCCGTTCCCTTTGCTTATAACATGCTTCATACCAGGTTTTACTTGACTGTTTCCTGCTTAACAATTAGGTTTTAGCCAAGTAAACAATTAACAAGTTAACAACTAAAACTTAAAACAATTAAGTTTTAGCCAAGCTATCTCCTCAGAGAGGATTGTCCTGACCTATGAGAAGTAGTCAATTGGCCCCCAGTTACTCTCTCTCCTATAATCTTGTATATTTTCTAACTGTGACCTGTGATTTTCTTGCATGTATGTTTACTTATTATTGTCTCTCTCTCTCACCAGAATGGTAAGCAAAGAGCAGAGACCTTATATGTCTTTGTACTTCTATGTCCCTAACACCCACCAGACACAGTTCCAATAATATTAAATACTATTCCAATATTTGCTGAATAAGTTATTTCTAGTACTTTTTATAAACACAAAACAAAACGTTAACTTTTTTTTAACAGTTAAAACACATTTTCTAGTTCCATCTTGCTTTCTTAATTTACTTTTGTCTTCACATCAGATTTAATAAAATAATTACAAGTCAGGAATCAGAATACCTGCATGTTTATGGAGTAAAACCAATAATAGTCAAATAACTTATTACCTTTAAGTGTAAAAATGTGTTTATTCACAACCATTTGTAAATTACCATTTGTTACCATTCCTTCAAAAAATTCTTTATGAACAAAAAGCCAAGAAAAATTACAATCGTAGCTTATGCCAAACCAAAAATATACATCTGATGTATACAAACTTTAAAAAGCATTAACACAGGCAATGTGAATATAGATTACCTTAAAAATATTTCCAAGACACAGCTACAACTTAAATTATGTTAAGACAGATATAAATAATAGCATTACCTAATGTATTATATTTACATATTTAAAGTATCATATTAATTTCTATGACATAAAAAAGGAGATAAAACTACAGATGTCATTGCTTAGCAGTTCAAATATTGAAAGGGCCACATGATTTTTTTTTTTAAGCACAGCAAGAACTTTAGGTTACTATTTATATCTGGACCTTCCTATATTTATAAGAACATGCACCGTCATTGTTGCAAGAGGAAAAAAAATTAAAAACATTAAGGAAAAACCAAAAAACAGTTTGCTTACTAAAATCATACCAAATCCTCAGCAAAATCAAGGAAAGCAATTATGGAGTGTTTTCTATCCCTGGCCTTGTAAATTGACATATACATTTTAGAGAAAAGAACAGTAATTGTCTAGCACAAAATGCAGTTATAGATATTGATATGCTTAGTTCTATCCCATTAAAGCACCTTGTACTACAAGGTAAAGGAAGGCTTAATAAAATCAATGGAGCCTTTCATACCAGAAAGGATTTTATTTGAAATACCCGTATTACCTTTTTAGATTTTCTTTTCTGAAATCATGCAGAGAATATGTTCTGTGTAAAATCTAACATCGTTCATTGGAAATATAGAATTTTTTAAAAATAATGGCACCTAAAAACTTAATACTGTATATCAATTAAAGTCAATATAGTGGCATGTAAAATGAAGTGGAAAAAACTAAATATATATATATATATATCTTCTTAAATATTATTTTTTATTATTACCAACTTGAAATGTCCAAACTCTGAAGGGTTATTTTTATATTATCTTTTGTTCAGATTGAATCAACATTATCATACTAGGACATGTAAATAAACACATGTAATGCCGATACTTCAGCATTTCTTAGAGTCATCTACCCACATCAACTGTACTTACTATTAGATAATAAAATCCAAAGAAGTCATAGAAATAAATAATGCTGGAAACGGGAACACTATTCTAAATCTGAATCTGACGATCCCTCCTCATGCTTCCTTCACATCGGCTGAGAATTAACAAAAAAGTCTTAATATTTTCATAGTTAGACAATGAAATAGGCTTCATAAATCATTCAAAGTAAAATTAATTTTAAAAATTGAAAGTGGAAATCTACCATAGTAAACAGAAATGCTATAAAGACAAGACAAAGTAAATTTAATCAGTAACATGACAGGACCATTAAATTGGTCTTGAAAAGCAGAAGGCAGATGATGAAATTGCACTTAATTCTGTATCAATTCAGATCCTATCATCCCTACTCCTTTGTAATAAAATAAGCATTTACAACATGGTTTCTTACACATCTCCCTTACAAAAAGGCTAAGCACAATCACTTATACATTCTAGTTGGTTTTTAACATTTGGTCATAACTGATAAACAAGGTCACACAATTTTACCCTATCGAGTCTGTTGATCTGTGTCAGAATGCCTTATGCCAGAATCAGACAGTTCTAATACAGGATTTACAAATCCAGAATACTCGGAATTTCCATTATCATCCATTTCGGCACTAACAAAATCATTTTCCCACTCCAGCCCATTGGAATCATCAGAGGCTGATGTAGGATTACTTCCAGTCTTCTTGTTGCTATACTTAAGTGCTGCCCGTAGAATGTCTTCCTCTGTTTTGGAACGTTCTCTCATTGGAAGCATTCTATTCATTCCTATGATTTGAACAGAGTTTTCAAAAATCTCAGAACAGATAATAAAGCTATATTTAAAAACTCCCAAATTTAGCAATGTAGTTTTTATTTAACTATCAGACTTGATGTGTGAATTAACTTAAAGACCCAGTCCCATGGAGGCCTTCTTAAGGGAAATTGTTGGGTTCTAACCCTGAAGTATGCCTCAGATAAAAATAAATATTAACAGTCACCAAAGGGCAGTTTTGATGCATCGATTATCCGATAAGATGAAATTCCTGAAGACTCATAAATAAAACAGAATGGATGGAGGATTTCAACTGCTGTTAGTCTCATATAGCCAAGTTAGTATGTCTGCCAAAGTCTTTTCCTACCCACATAATTTCATTTCCCAGAGAATGACAATCACTCTAATGATAACATGTACTTTTCCAGCATTTACTAGGTTCCAGTTAATGTGACATATATGCCACAGATATGAACTGATTTAATCCCCAACAACTCTATGGAGTACAGTACTATCATTATTCTCATTCTATAGCTGAGGTAACCGGGACAGAAAGGCTAAGTGATTTGGGTAAGGTCACACAGCTAAAAAGTGGTGAAGCAAGAATTTTAATCCATTCAGTCTGGCTCCAAAGTCTGTGGTATTATGCTCTTCTGACTCTACCACAACAGAGTAGAGACATTTCTATGGGAAACTGTTCTAGATCTAATTCTGAACAAAATGAAATTGGTAAAGTGAAAGTGTCAATAATCTTGAAAGGAAAAAATAATGTCATTTTACTGGCAGAAGGAAGGGAGACAGGACAGAAAAGAAATTTGAATCTGTAAGTACAGAATCAACATTGGTAACAGAATTAAAATCTAGGATTCACAAAGAGATTGTAATATTCCCAGACACATTTAATGATTTTCTTTTTTGACCTTAAAGCTCAGATCCCACCATAAAAGAACATTTAAATCTGTATCACCGTTGTCTGTCACTCCTGAAAAATCACAAAGACTCAACCCAGTAAAACAAGTTATTTCTATAGATAAGAAAAAAATATGAGCTAGATACTAATATAACTTTGTAGATCTGTATCTGGTGGATTTGTTTCTGTGGATTTATTTCTAAGAGAAGTTATATTTAACTTCTGGCTTTGGACTGTCCACAAGGGGGTAGTAATCCTTCATACTGAGTAATGTCATGGGCTTGGATTACAAAAACCTTAAAGAAATCGACATTTATTTTCTAAATCTAAAGAAACATTAAAAATTAAGCAATTTTCTAAAAATTTTTATCAACAGAGATCATCACCAATACAATAATGGTCTAAAAAGTGTTTATATGATTTTTCAAGGCCTTGAATTTATTTCCATTTAAATAAAGACCAAGGTAGATTTACATAAATCAACACAGATTACGTTAAATTTTTCAGGTAAAATTGTGAATTATAAAATACCTTCTTCATCTTCCCACTCTAGATCTAAGGATGTGCTGTCGTCATTTCCACTAGTTGATTTAGTTTTGGTCATTAAATCACAACTGCTTTCTGTATTTGGTGTCAAAACTGTAGCATCTGATGAGAGTCCTAGAATATACACGAAATACAATTGAATACTCTCATCTACTCTTCCACCGCAACAGCCGTTTTATTTTGTAACAATTATCTGTCTCTAAATATTATTATTATTACTTTTAGCTTCATAAGAAATAATTCTGGAAATCATTTTATTGGTAAGTTTCTGTTAGGAACAGTATAAAGAAACTTTTCTCTCTTTTTTTTTGCCATCTAAGCATAGCAAACATGCAAATATAAATGATTATAAACTTTTCAAATATGATTAACTCTAGATAATATTTTTAACAGTCAATTACAAAGCGGCACAAAAAACAATGAACAAGAAAGATAAAACAAAAAGCAACCTATATTTTCAAAAGGAACCACTACCATACTATGCTTCCAGTATTGGGAAGCATAAGAGTTTTTGCTTTTGAAACCTGAGGAAATATTTTAATCTTATAAGTCAATCTGTAATAAGTAAAAAATAAGTACACTTTTCTATTACTTCCTCCCACCTTTCCTTTCTTTTTTTTGGAAAGGGAAGGGTTAGGATCAGAGTAGAAATGGAAAAAGGAGTGCTTGACTTCCTATATGGATCTACAGAAATAGTCTGAGATTTTTCTTTGCTCCAACTTCTTTTTAAAAAGAAAAGATGAGGTTGTATAATTAATGACTACCTAGGAAATTGACCTATCTGGGAATTACAAATTTAAGAACAGAAAGTTCTTCTACAGAAACAGAGCCAGAATCTCTACTTATCTGTTTACTGTGGCATAAAAAGTACAGAAAATACTTTAAAAAACTTACTACTACTTCGAAAAACTTCATACTGTGACTTCATATTTCTCAAACAAGATTCGAAGTCATCTTCTGGTCCTGAACTGTAATAAAAGTGAAATAATTTTTTAATATATTCATGGTAGCTGCAATATGACAAATATATAAGCTAATGATGGCATTGTGGCTTGAAGACCTATGTCATACAAATTCATAACTGCTGTACAATTAGAATAACCTAATGAAAATAGTTCTTAATTTTCTTAATACTAAAATGAAACTGAAAATAAGAAGATTTTCATTAATCCTGAAGTCCAATCTCCAAAGCTTAGCCATAAGTCCAACTTTACAATAATGAATCATGAACAATATTCTTTGAATGAGTAGTGATACTTGTGGAAATGTGACACTGAAATATCTCTTCCAAAAAATGACCACACATAAACTTTATTATAAGAAAGAGAGGGACTAAGGAAAACACAAACAACTGGGGTATAAACAACTCACCCAAAGGCATTCAGCTATTGTATCACATCTATATGGGAAATGAGACCACTCTTAAAAATGCAATAAAGTCAGTTTAAATTAATAATAATGTTTCAACTTAAATGTTCTCAGTTTTCTTCCAAGACAATGTCTTTTAGAAGGAATAATTTTTAGGGAACACATAAACATGAATGCGTATATACACATCTTGAGGTGAATGATGCTCTACACCGCAATAAAATGTTCTACCACAAAGGGAAGGAGGCATATGTTTCACTATTTACCTTTGATATTCTCCATTGTTGGAAGGATGATATTGCTGCACAATTCTCTGCCTTTCTTGCTTTGGAAACATAATGTAATAAAAAAAATCACTCTGTTGTAAAATTATATATTTTAAAACCACTCATGCAACACCAAAAAGTATTTTTTTCTAGTTTCTAAAAAAAAAAGTTATTTTGTTGATATATTTTTCCTTAAATCCATCACTATTCAATTCTATATCCCCTTATTTATGGGAAGAATTTTTCTGAATTTATCTATGTGTAATCCAGAAGTGGCCAGAATATTCATAGTGTTATTAAAAAATAACTTTTTTTTAACAGATATGTATTGATATCCTTAACATTCTTAGTATACCCAAGAACTTCCAACCAACTGGAAAAATGAGGAGCAGGAAAGGAATAGTTAAAACAATACATGAAGTTCCATTCTGGGTGAAATAAGTAGCAATACAACAACAGATTTATAAGATCTGGCTGAGTTGACTCAGAAATAATAAAAGCAATTGGCTAAGATTTAGAAGAACTGTTGGGAGTTGTGGCTCTGATAGCTATTAGCTATATATCCCTGGCATGGCCTTTACCTACTGTTCCTTCACCTATAAATTACAGATAGCTATATTACTGCTCTAGCAAACTCAGGGTTCCCATGAAAATCAAATGACTTGGTGGGTGTCAGTGTATGTCTGTGTGTCAGTATGTGCTGTATAGACTGTAATGTGTTCCTACATCAAATATTTAAACCAGGGTAGGAAAAACTCAGAGAATCCTGGAAATCACCCATATGGATGCTGCATATGGAATGCTTTGTCTTTAAAAGGGAAGCAGTAGATAATCTATTACAGTAAAAAGTGTCTATATGATAACCAGAAAAATACTTTTCTTAGTAGAAGGTAAAAGTTAAAAACTTGTTCATTATTTAGAACTGACTTAAAAAGAAAATATATTCCTTCATATAATCTGCTAAAACAGCAGAGAGAGAGAGGGAAAAAAATGAAGGAAAGTTGGGGGGAGAAGGACACAGTTCACATAGAAATCATGTAACAATATGATAGACATGATATTTCAGTTTCTCTAAGTTTTACAATGTGACATGATCTTTATACTACTTCAGTTAACACTACAGAGGTGAATCCAAACAGGCAAAATATGGAGGAAGATATTAAGGATACCAGCTAAGCACTGTTGTGCTTGAACTTTGGCTCTGGCCCTTATTAACTGTAGGATCTCAAGCAAGTTACAAAACATATCCTACTCTCAGTTTTCTCATTTGTAAAACAGGGATTAAAAACACTATCTCATAAGATTGTTGTGAGGATTAAATAAGGTAAAACATTGCTGCTCCTGACAGTTAGGGTTCCATAAATGCCTGTTACTTACAGCTGCCAGGCATTATGGTAATGCAGCATGGTAAGATACGGTAAATCTGCTGCCTTCTCTGATAATATTCCAACGATTTCTCAAGACCCAAACTCCCAATCTCCCAAGGACACAAGAATAAAGATGAGAAGCAAGTAATAATTTTATGGGGAAAATAGCACAGTTTATCCAGTTCCAGGAAAAAAAGAAATTCTAGCAATTTAAAAAACTGTTAAAAAAAAAAAAACCCTCACAAAACAAAATGCTTTGCCAATTATATTTAAAGGCTAGTTTTGCAACGCTTTCCCTCTAAGAGTACATTTAATTTTTCCAAAAGAATACTGAATTTTATAGCACTAAAATTTATCTTTAGGATAAACAGGAATCAGCATTTGCTAATCTAAAGCTAAATAGCATTGAGTATCAAGCATGTAATCTGATGTTATTTCTAGCTGTTAATGACTGACTAATTTGCCTTGAAAATTCTTAAGAATATATGGGTAAACACATTCGTTGTTAAACAAGAAGTCCTTGAGAATAGGAAAAAAAGAGTCCCAACTAAGATTTGTCAGAGAAAATAAGGAGAAAAGCAACCCTAATATATGCTGGGGTCTTTTCCCCTCACCTCCAAGAGCTTTCGCTGCTTTGCTGCCCTGGCTGCTTCACGCTGTGCAGCGTATAAAGCTTCTTCTTCTAGTCTTAACTTCTCTTCTTGTAAGGCTAACTGTACATGAACAAAACGATAAGGATTAACAAAAATCAGAACCTGTCTAACTGCTCTAAAAATAAAATGCTTCTATTTATAAAACAAAAAATAAATTATTAAAAAATAATTGATCTCTACAAAGCATAACAGAATTGAAATGTTTGCAATTGTTTAAATTTTTTCTTTTACAAAATAACCCAAAGGATATAAAACACATTACGGAATTCCTTAGAAACTGAGTTATGAAGCAGTAGCATCTATTCTGTATAAATATAGAAGTGTTTCTTTAGAATCTGCAGTGATCTTCATTTTAAACAATCATTCCAACACCTATCACCCTCACTAGTTTGCCGGTTTTGGCCCTCATAAATCCAGTATCTTTAAGATCAATTACGTCACTGTGACCAAAGTGAACTCAGCTTTCACAAAATTCATGTCTTGCCATCTAATTAACATCAATGCACATGTCTCCTTAATTTCATTACTATCAAACTATTAAAAAATTACTTTCAAATGTAAGTTCTTGCTATTCATAAGAGCACATAAGCTGCTTTAGTAATATCTATTGTATGTTAAAGTTAACTTGAAAATCAAATTTCAACACAAATTTTTTTCTTTAGACTAATATTAACAGCTACTGTATAGCTTACGTTAATGCTTTTGAAATCACTAATTGGTCCTAAACATACTTTTCTTTTTGAGACAGGGTGTTATTCTGTCACCCAGCCTGCAGTACCATGGCACCAACACTGCAGCCTTGACCTCCTGGGCTCAAACCATTCTCCCACCTCAGCCTCCAGAGTAGCTGGGACTACAGGCGTGCGCCACCACCCCGGGTGAATTTTTGTATTTCTTGCAGAGATGAGGTCTTGCCAAGTTGCCCAGGCTGGTTCTTAACTCCTGGACTTGAGCAATCTGCCTGTCTTGGCCTCCAAAGTGCTGGGACTATAGGCATTAGCCACCATACCCACATTAAACAGACAAATATATGTATATGTATGTATGTATATGTGTGTGTGCATTTATTTTTTTTTTTTGAGACAGGGTCTTGCTCTGTCACCCAGGCTGGAGTCTAGTGGCTCCCCTTCGACCTCCCATAGTCTTGAGGATCCTGGGCTCAAAATCTTCCCACCTCAGCCTCCTTAGTAGCTGGGACTATAGGTGCATGCTACCATACCCGGCTAATTTTTGTATTTTTTTTTAGAGATGGGTTTTCACCATGTTGCCCAGGCTGGTCTCAAATTCCTGGGCTTAAGTGATCTGTCCACCTCAGTCTCCCAAAGTGCTGGAACTACAGGTCTCCCAAAGTGCTGGAACTATGACCACCAAGCCCGGTCTTAAACAGAAAAATTTTAAATGTGCAGCAGAATATGAATAATTCCATTTAGTTTAGTGGGTGCAAAACCATAATTATAGGCCATTTCAATAAACACATTAAATAACTTTAACACTTATGATTATAAGTACTTGGTTCTCTGAGAACAAATACACCAAGATAAAAACTCTTCAAAAAACCACTTATTGTGAAACAGGGTAATTTTTTAAAAATTTGCTTTTGTTGTTGTTTCCTTTTTGAGACAGGGTCTCACTCTACTGCCCAGGCTGGAGTGCAGTGGCATGATCTTGGCTCACTGCAGCCTTGACCTCTCTGGCTCAAGCAATACTCCCACCTCAGCCTCCCAAATAGCTGGGACCACAGGCATGCACCACCATACCAAGCTAATTTTGTATTTTTTGTAGAGACGGGGTTTTGCCATGTTGCTGAGGCTGGTCTCAACCTCTTGGGCTCAAGCAATCTGTCTGCCTCGGCCACCCAATGTGCTGGGATTACAGATGTGAGCCTGCTCTAAAAGTTGGTTTTAAATACCAAGGTGCATATTCTTGCCAGAGTTCCTACTTTGTGAATTAAGAAATTATTTTTAAAAGAATGTACTATCTCCATTTTTTGGCAGCATATGATTTCTGATAAATTAAGCCAAACTAAAAGAAATTATAATAGGCTGGAATGATTTTTTTTAACTCTTAAAACAGATTCATCTGTATATATCTAAATATAGGTCCAAAGACTCTACACAATATATTATTTAATGACAATTCTCTCTTTATGATAACATGTACTTAAGCAATATAAAAGACAATTTACCTCTTTTTGAATTTTCTTATCAAGATCTTTTTGTTTTTCGGCAATGGAATCATAATGCCTTTCTCTTAGGTCAACAATTTCTTCCTCAGTAAGAGGCCTAGAGAAAAAAAGGAGGAGGAGAAAAAGAAAAAACAAAAACTTCTGATGAGTCTAAGTCCAAATAAAACACTCAAAAAGCCAGTGAAATTCTCAAATTTTGCTGTTAAAAATGTTAAAGCAATTTGCTACAACTTCAATTGTTAAGAGTAAAAAGTATACATTCTAACACTTGCTATTATTCTAGTATATAAACTGGTAAGATGATACAATATCAGAATAGTTTTTAAAGCATTACAGCTACCTTTTAAGAAATGTGGATTTTATTTACCTTCATCTGGCTCTGCTTCAGCCATCTGACCTATGGGTATATACCCCAAACCATATCCCAAGATGCTCATCATAAAATATAAACATCAGTACACTATTACACCCTGATCTCAGCCGTCATACCATTCTGGAACTCTTCTTAATCCTCCTATTTTATCCTGCTTAATCACTCTGGCTTCCCCAGGCCCTTCATCCTTCCCTTTTCTCAGTCTATCTGTCCCAGTCATCTTCTGGCCTTGCTTCACTTACAACCAATATGGACACCAAGGCAGATCTGAACTACTTTCTTACCAACATACTCACCTTCTTACACTCCTATCATTATTCCATATTCACTTGGTTTACTCACATTCTGACCCTGGGTCATTTCCATGTTCAGCCCTTCCTGTTTCAGGCTGCTAGAGAAAACCTGACATCAATTTGGCACTCGGACCCCAGCAGTAGTCCTTTTATATATATGTGGCAATTCCTTCACATATCCTACACTACCAAATTAAAAATCTTCACATACTCAAGTTCCTTATTCATACTTTTTTTTATCTTAAAAGGCAATTTCACTCCACTTTAAGAAATGAGGAGTATCAACCATGAATCGCCCCAACTTTGTGGCAACCCCCACTTACTTACATATATCCTTCCTATTCTCCTCACCATCCTCTAAAGAGGAATGTTCTTAACTTGTTCAGAGTCACCTACTACATTTACACTCTTGACTCACTCACCATTGAGCCCATCTCTCCTGCCCCACTCCAGGCAATTCTCTGGGACCTTGTTCTATCAATTAGTACCTCTCTTTTACCTTTAACCTATTCCTTTTGTCTGTTTGCACCTCTCTTCCATGTGAAGGAAGGAAGGAAGAAAGAAGAAACTAAGGAAAAAACCTCCATTTGACCTGTATCTATCTCAAGCTACTGCTCCCTCTTTTTTTCAGCCAAGTCCTGAAATTAAATGTATAATATCAATAGTCAGCATACCTAGCACTTACTATGTGCCTGGCTCTCTTCTCAATGCTTCACATATATTAGCAAATTGTAATCCTCACAACAACCCTCTAAGGTAGATATAAGGATTATACATATGAGGGAAGTGAAACGAAGACAGATTAAGAGTATGGCTAAGTAAGTCATATAGTATGTGGCAAAGCCAGAATCTGAACCCCAGGTAGTGTAGCTCTTGTTCTTAACTACTGTTCTTCTCTTGCCTTCATGTCCTTACCTCCCATTCACTTGTCAACTCGCTGCAGTCTACCTCTGCTCCCATAACTCCAATAACTCTAGCAAAGGTAATCAATGGCTTCTATGTTGCCAAATACAATACACAATTTTAAGTCCTTATCTTACTACCTCAGTTTCATGGGACAGTGTTAACCATTCCCATCTGTCTGTCTGTCTCCCCTCCCTCGGCTTCCCAAGCTCTCCTGGTTCTTCTTTTTGCCTACTACTTCTTGGTCATCTTCAGAATCCTCTTCTAGTGTCCGCCTAGTCAATCCTCAGATCCTTGCTCTCTCACCATGCTCCACCTCTCCCCAAACCCCCACCTCAGTTAGGTGATCTTGGTAACTATCATGGTTAACTAGCCATTTATAGGTATTATCTCCTACTTCTGTCCCTTCAGCTCTAACTTCTGCTAGCCCTAGTTATATATTAGGGCTTTAAAATTTTTTCTTTGAAGTATAACTTAAATAAAATGAAATATAGATTTTAAGTGTTCAGTTCATAAAGTTGTTTTGATAATTGTATACACTCATGTAACTTCCACTGGAAGCAAGATACATAACACTTCCATCACCTCACATACTTTCCTTGTGCCCCTTTACAATCAATTCTCTCACTTTGCTTATGAAATTTCTAATGTCCTCCTGCTCTGCCTGGATAGTTAGCATTAACCAACCTTTCAACAATCAACACCAGGTGTTATCCCCTTAAAAATGTCTTCTTGGATTTTGTTTTGGGCAAACAGCCTCTTCTCTAAGGTTCCCTAGAATGTTCTATAATCACTATTTAATTGCTTTCCCTACCTCATATTGAAATTAGTCATCTCGAGAATCTATCTCCCAGACCAGGATGTTCTTTCTTCTAATGGAGAGACTATGTCTGATTTTTAAAATCCCAGTGTCTAGCACGGTGCTTGGCACACGACAGTTGCTTAATAAATGTTTGCTAAACTAAAAAAAGTAAGGATTATTTGTTCATAATATAACATTGTATATGAAAACTATTCTCTTGAAATTAAGAATGCTCTTTTGACTTAAAGATACTTCAAGTAACACATGCAATTTTAATAAAATATTTAAAAGCTGCTTAAATAATTATAGCATAAGGTTTTAGTTACTATTAAAAGATGTGAAAAAATTTAGTAGAATAAGTTTTAGAATGCATAAGGAAAGAAAGGGGCAATAAAGTTAAAAAATTTAAAAGAAACGTACTTATCAGTATTAAATGGTTTTAAGAAAACTAAAAAACATATAACAGGTACAACAGGAAAGCATCTGGGCACTTACATTAAATTCTTTAATATTCAAAACAGTCTTTTGAGATATATGATATTTGTCTCAATCTTATAAAAAGAAAAATCTGAAAGTTCTGAAATGTAAACTGTTTAATGTCTCAAAGCAAGCAAATGATAAAGCCTGACTTCTTAAGAGAGTTTTCTTACAGTTTGCATAGAAGTTTTGTTTTTTTTTTTTAACAAAGCCTTACCTATGACTGCTTCCTGGGCTCTCCCCCTGTACAAAAATTAATTAAACAATTAAAACAAATTCATTAGCTAAATTCTATTTAAAGTAACCAATACAATTTTTATTTAATCTAAATACTTTCAACTTACCCATTTTTTATCAGAGTAAATACATTTCACTATTAAATATATTTCACTATTAAAAATATTTGAAACAAAAAGCTTTAAAATTTTGCTACTTCTCCAAAGCAAAATTTAGTTTACTATCTAGCTTAATTACATAAAACCATTTGCTGGACATTTCTTAATTTTTTTTAACAAATATTTGTTACATACCAAATGAACTGTGGTCAGTATGGTATGAGACAACATATTCTCTATGTTCTCATTTATATTAACAGTTGATCCTCATTTTTTTGCAGTTTCTATATTTGCAAATTTGCCTACTTGGAAAATTTACTTGTAACCACAAAATCAATATTTGAGCTCTCTTGGTCATTCAAGGACAGGCATGGAGCAGTAAAAATTTTGAGTTGCTCAGCAATGCACATTCCCAGATGAGGTAGAACAGGGCGACAGACACTCCGCTTTCTTGTTTCAGCTCTCATGCTATAAACAAGTATCCTTTTTACAGTCTATTTAATGCCACACTGTTTGCATTTTTGTGCTTTTTTGCTGGTGATTTCTGTTTAAAATGACCTCTAAGTATTCCAGTGTTCCTAAAGTCCAAGAAAGCTATGATGTGTGTTATGGGGAAAATATGTGTGTTAGGTAAGCTTCATACAAGCATGAGTTTGTGCTATTGGCTGTGAGTTCAAAGTTAATGAATCAATAATATGTGTTTAATACAGTGTCTTACACAGAAACGCACATTGAATGAGGCTATATACTGATTGGTTGATGAACATATTGTGATCAGAGGCTTGCAGGAACCTAACCTTGTATTTCCCCTGCAGTAATGCTTCAGCATTCACTAATTTAGCATTTACAGCAACTTAAATACAATAATGAGAATCAACTTTTTGTTTTCTTTCACAAGGTTATGAAATTATCTGTAGTTTTTTCCTCCAAAGCAAAGCATAACTATTTTCAGGATTTATTCAGGTTTATGCCTATTTCTTACACATTTAAACTATTCATAACTGAAAGTTAAAATATAATAGCAGGAATAAAATTCCAAATGGTCCACATTAGTTTAGAAAGTAGCACTACAAAACAGGATGACATTCAACTAAACCAAACACAAAATATGAAGTAAATTAGAGAGGAGAAGAGGGGTTAGCAAAAACAAAAATTAAAAAATCCTCAGCCAACCAAACAAAAAGCATCTTAGGAAAATCCATGGAATCACGAGTTCTCTTGAAAAGTGTTACGATGCTGGGATGAATTCTACTGGAGGCTGAAAGAAGGCTTACTTTTAACACTTGTCAGATGCTTTAAAAATATCATGTCCAGTGTTTGCTTAAACTTTTTAAGAGAAAGACATGAAGACAAAAGTGACCTCTGCGAAGGGAAAGAAGTAAGTTCTATGAAATGGAATGATATTTTACTGGGAGAACAAACGGCTAAAATAGTTTCCAAAATGTGTCCTATCAGATGAAAAATATGTATTATTATTTTAAAAAAGGATTTTTACCCACGTTAATTTAAGAAGAGCTGAGTTGAACAAGTTTAAATAATTCAGTTTAACAATAGTTTATCTCAATCTTTTACATGCTAATTTACACTCTGAGACTAGTATTCTATACATACTCTGAGAAAGGCTGGACTAAAGAATACATTTTTAAAGGAAAAGATTAATACATTTTCTTCTTTCCCTAGAAAACAAAAACGACAGTGTCAACTTTCAGTGTTCTTCTAGTCGAACCAATTTTAAAGATGTAGAAAGTAGACCCAGGGAGGTTAAGTAATTTGCAGAAACGTACACAATTAATTTAGTGAAGTTGCAAATTAGCATACAAACTAAAGTTCTAACTATACGAATGCATAAGAAATGCTTCTTAGCCTTTTGACTAAGATCAAATGTTGAAATATACACAATTTGCTGATTCTAAAATGCACTCCCTTCTCATTTTTAACACTTCTGTATTTGAGAAGCATCTTAAAACTTGCTGAGTTGTATGAGATGAAATGTAGAAAATCAACATAAAGAAAAGATAAAAGAGATGATGGCTAAAGTCAGAAACTGTAGAATAAACATGTAGAAAATCTGACATCAGAATCTATGAAAACTATAAAGAATAGGCCTACTCCAAAGCTGGGTGAAGTGGTACACACCGATGGTCCCAGCTACTCAGCTGAGGCAGGAGGACTGCTCAAGCCGAGGAGTTTAAGTCCAGCCTGGGCAACATAGCGAGATCTTGTCTCTTAAAAAGAAAACAACGGCAACAACAACAAAAAGCAATGGGTCTACTCTGGATTGTTAGGTATTTTACCTACTTAATGGCAAGAGGTTAGAAATATTAGAAATACAACTTTCTGAAGTTCCTTGGGTTTCTGTATAACGCTTTAAATCCTGTGTGTGTATATAGTGTATCTTAGATAGTAAAAAAATTCGGAATTGGCTGGGCGCGGTGGCTCACACCTGAAATCCCAGCACTTTGGGAGGCCGAGGCTGGCGGATCACGAGGTCAGGAGATCGAGACCATCCTGGCTAACATGGTGAAACCCCGTCTCTACTAAAAATACAAAAAATTAGCCGGGCGTAGTGGCGGGCGCCTGTAGTCCCAGCTACTTGGGAGGCTGAGGCAGGAGAATGGCGTGACCCGGGAGGCGGAGCTTGCAGTGAGCCGAGATCCCGCCACTGCACTCCAGCCTGGGAGACAGAGCGAGACTCCGTCTCAAGAAAAAAAAAAAATTCGGAATTATTTTCTAATATAAATTAGTAAAAGAAGGAAATAATAAAGAACTAAAAAGTAAAAATAAAAACCAGAAAATAAAAATTCTAAAACAAAAATAATAAAAATTGTAAACGTAATTGTTAGAACTAATGAGACGATTAATGAGAAAAACAAATACAAGTTTTGTACTATTATGGAAATACTTACTTCATCACTTTCTACTAGATTCTCAAACTGAAAGGACAAAAAAGTAAGCGTTAAGAGGA